>NC_000012.12:67914673-68066188 GCF_000001405.40 Homo sapiens | reverse complement strand
AAAAGACTTTGGCAGCAACACAATAATAATGGGGGACTTCAGCACCCCACTGACAGGATTAGACAGATCATCAAGGCAGAAAACTAACAAAGAAATTCTGGACTTAAATTCGGCCCTTGACCAATTGGACCTAATAGACATCTACAGAATACTCCAACCAACAACCACAGAATAAACATTCTTCTCATCTGAACACAGAGCATACTATCAGATTGACCAAATACTCAGTTCTAAAGTAAGTCACAAAAAATTTTTAACAATTTCAATCATACCAACCATCTTCTTAGACCACAGTGGAATAAAAATAGAAATCAATATGAAGAGGAACTCTAAAAACCACAAACACATGGAAACTAAACAGCTGCTTCTGAATACCTTTTGGGTACAAAAGGCAGAAATCAAAAATTATTTGAAGCAAATGAAAATACAGACACAACATACCACAACCTCTGAGATGTGGCAAAAGCAGTGTTAAGAGGGAAGTTTATAATGCTAAATGTGTACATCAAGAAGATAGTTCCAATGGTTGTCCAGTGGCTAGGAAAGAAAAAAAAGGAAGAAAGATGTCGAAGATAGAAAGATCCCTAATCTCACACCTAAAGAAACTAGAAAAACAATAAAAAACTAAACCTATAGCTAGCAGAAGAAAAGAAATAACTAAAATTAGAGCAGAACTAAATGAAATTGTGACCTCAAAAAGACATACAAAAGGATCAATGAAACAAAAAGTTGATTTTTTTGAAAAAATAAATAAAATTGATAGGCAGCTAGTAAATTAACAAAGGAAAAAAGAAAACACCCAAATAAGCACAATCAGAAATGACAAAGGTGACATCATAATTAATCCCACAGAAATACAAAAGATTCTCAGACACTACTATGAACAACTCTATGCACACAAACTAGAAAATCTAGAAGAGATGGTTAAATTCCTAGAAACACAAAGCCTCCCAAGATTGAATGAGGAAGAAACAGAAATCCTCAACTGAGAAACAATGAGTAATAAAATTAAATCCGTAATAAAAAACTTACCAACCAAAAAAAAAAAAAAAGCTGTGGACTATATGGGTTCATAGCCAAATTCTACGAGATCTACGAAGATTTGGTCCCTATCCCACTGAAACTATTTCAAAAAATCAAGGAGGAGGGACTTCTCCTTAACTCATTTAAAGTCTATTTTATCTGATACAATGCGAATAACTCATTCTAAAAAACCAGTATCATCCTGATACAATAGTCTGGCAAAGTCACAACAGAAAAAGAAAACTACAGACTAATTTCCCTGATGAACATAGACACAAAAGATCCTTAACAAAATACTAGCATATTGAATTCAGCAGCACATTAAAAAGTTAATTCAGCACTAGAAGCAGCTGCGGCCGGAGGCTCCCACTGAAAAGAACCAAAACAACATGTGAATCCTGCACCAGCAACCGAGGTATCAAGGTTCTATTATCAGGACTGACTAGGCAGTTGGTGTGATCTGTGGAGAGCAAGGAAAAGTAGGGTGGTGCATCGGTCCACCTGAGAGCCACACGGGGCAAGGGGACCCCCAGCTCCAGCCAAGGGAGGCAGTGAGTGAGCATGCTACCCAGCCTGAGAAATTGTGCTTTTGTCACAGATTTGTTCAACCTGAAGATCAGGAGATTCCACTTGTCAGCCCACACCACCAGGGCCTTGGGTCCCAACCACAGAGCTGCACAGATTCTCAACAGTCACTAGGCTGGAGTCTGCCCCAAACTACCGAGTTCCTGAGGGCAGGGGCGGCCATCATCACTGCAGCTGTCTGCTGCCTAAGCTGTCTGAGCTCCCTGGGGGAAGAACAGCAGCCATCACTGCGGCTGCTAGCTACCTAAGATGCTGGACAGCTTGATCCTAAGAGGTATTCCCCACAGCACAGGACACCAGCTGTGGCAGATTGTGGCCAGACTGCCTTTTTAGGCTGAACCCTGACCCATCCCTCCTCACTGGGTGGGGACTCTCTGAAGGAACTCTAGCAACTTCAGCCAGGGGCTTAGGGACAGAACTCTGATCTCCCTGGGCCCGAGACCCTAAGGGGAGGGGTGGATGTTGGACGTGATCTCTGAATCAGCAGATTTAGTATTTCCTCTGCTAGTTCTGAGGAATCTGGGCATCCCAGATGAGTGGGTTTCCCCCAGCACAGCACACCCATTCCACCAAGGGGCAGCCAGAGTGCTTCATTAAATGGGTCCTGGATCCCGTGTACCCTGACTAGGTGAGACTCCCCAAGCAGGGGTTGCCAGACACCTTATACAGGAGTGTTCTTACTGGCAGCAAGTTGGGGCCCTTGGAGGACAGAGATCCCAGAGGAAGGAGTAGGCACCCATCTTTAATGTTCTTCAGCCTCTTAAGGTGACACCTAGAGGTACAGGAGGAACCCAGGTGAATAGGGTCTGAAGTGAATCCCCCAGCAAACTGCGGCAGCCCTACAGAAGAGGGACCTGACTGTTGAAAGAAAAACAAACAAACAGAAAGGAACAACAACAGAATCAACAAAAAAGTTCCCACTAAAACCCCATCCACAGGTCAGCAGCCTTAAAGATTGAAACCAGACAAACTCATGAAGATGAGAAAGAATCAATGAGAAAACACTGAAAACTCGAAAGGTCAGAGTGCCTCTTCTCCTCCAAATGATGGCAAACACCTCTCCAGCAAGGACAGAGAACTGGTCAGAGGCTGAGATGGACAAATTGACAGAAGTAAGCTTCAGAAGGTGGGTAATAACAAACTTCACTGAGTTAACGGAGCGTGTATTAACCCAATGCAAAGAAGCTAAGAAACTTGATAAAAAGTTACAGGAGCTGCTAACTAAAATAACCCATTTAGAGAGGAACATAAATGACCTGATGGAGCTGAAAAACACAACATGAGAACTTTGTGATGTAAACACAAGTATCTATAGCTGAATCGATCAAGCAGGAGAAATAATATCAGAGCTTGAAGACTATCTTGCTGAAATAAGGCAGGCAGACAAGATTAGAGAAAAAAGAATGAAAAAGAACTAACAAAACCTCCAAGAAATATGGCACTATATAAAAAGAACAAACCTATGGCTGATAGGAATACCTGAAGAAGATGGGGAGAATGGAACTAAGTTGGGAAACACATTTCAGGATATCATCCAGGAGAACTTCCTCAACCTAGCAAGATGGGCCAACATTCAAATTCAGGAAATGCAAAGAAACCCAGTAAGATACTCCATGAGAAAATTGACTCCAAGACACATAATCATCAGATTCTCCAAGGTTGAAATGAAGGAAAAAATGTTAAGGGCAGCCAGAGAGAAAGGCCAGGTTACCTACAAAGGGAAGCCCATCAGACTAACAATGGACCTCTCAGCAGAAACCCTACAAGCCAGAAGAGAGTGGGAGCCAGTATTCAACATTTTTAACAGAAAAAAATTTCCAACTTAGAATTTCATATCTGACCAAACTAAGCTTCATAAGCGAAGGAGAAATAAAATCCTTTTCAGACAAGCAAATGCTGAGGGAATTTATCTCTACCATGCCTGCCTTGCAAGAGCACCGAAAGGACGCACTAACTATGGAAAGGAAAAACTGGTATGAGCCACTGCAAAGACACACCAAAATATAAAGTCCAATGACACTTTGAAGAAACTGCATCAACTAGTGTGCAAAATAACCAGCTAGCATCATGATGAAAAGATCAAATTCACACATAACAATATTAACCTTAAATCTAAATGGGTTAAATGCCCCAATTAAGAGACACATACTGGCAAATTGGATAGAGTCAAGACCCATCGGTGTGCTGTATTCAAGAGACCCATGTCATGTGAAAAGACACACATAGGCTCAAAATAAAGGGATGGAGGAAAATTTACCAAGCAAATGGGAAGTAGAAAAAAAGCAGGGGTTGCAATCCAAGTCTCTGACAAAACAGACTTTAAACCAACCAAGATAAAAAAAGACAAAGAAGGGCATTTCATAATGGTAAAGGGATCAACAAGAAGAGCTAACAATCCTAAATATATATGCACCCAATACAGGAGCACCCAGATTCATAAAACAAGTTCTTTGAGACCTACAAAGAGACTTAGACTCCCACACAATAATAGTGGGAGACTTTAACACCCCACTGTCAGTATTAGACAGAGCATTGAGACAGAAAATTAACAAGGATATTCAGGACTTTAACTGAGCTCCAGATCAAGTGGACCTGATAGATCTCTACAGCACTCTCCACCCCAAAACAACAGAATATACATTCTTCTCAGCACTTACTCTAAAATGAATCACATAATTGGAAGTAAAAGACTCCTCAGCAAATGCAAAATAACTGAAATCATAACAAACAGTCTCTCAGACCACAGAGAAATCAAATTAAAACTCAAGATAAGAAACTCACTCAACACCACACAACTGCATGGAAACTGAACAACCTGCTCCTGAATGGCTCCTGGGTAAATAATTAAATTAAGGCGGAAATCAAGAAGTTCTTTGAAACCAATGAAAGCAAAGAGACAATGTACAAGAATCTCTGGGACACAGCTAAAGCAGTGTTAAGAGGGAAATTTATAGCACTAAATGCCCACGTCAGAAAGCTGGAAGGATCTCAAATTGACACCCTAACATCACAACAAAAAGAACTAGAGAAGCAAGAGGAAACAAATCCAAAAGCTAGCAGAAGATAAGAAATAATTAAGATTAGAGCAAAACCGAAGGAGATAGAGACACGAAAAACCCTTCAAAACACCAATGAATCCAGGAGCTGGTTTTCTGAAAAAATTAATAAATCAGATAGACTGCTAGCTAGACTAATAAAGAAGAAAAGACAGAAGTATCCAACAGACACAATAAAAATGATAAAGGGGATATCACCACTGACCCCAAAGAAATACAAACAACCATCAGATAATACTATAAACACCTGTATGCAAATAAAGTGGAAAATCTAGAAGAAATGGATAAATTCCTGGACACATATACCCTCCCAAGACTAAACCAGGAATAAATGGAACCCTTGAATAGACCAATAACAAGTTCTGAAATTGAGGCAGTAATTAATAGCTAACCAACCAAAAAAAAGCCCAGACAGATTTACAGTTGGATTATTCCAGAGGTACAAAGAGGACCTGTTACCTTTCCTTCTAAAATTATTTCAAACAATTGAAAATGAAGGCCTTCTCCCTAACTCATTTTATGAGGTTCACATCATCCTGATACCAAAATCTGGCAGAGACACTACCAGAAAAGAAAACTTCAGTCCAATATCCCTGATGGACTTCGATGTGAAAGTCCTCAATAAAATACTGGCAAACTAAATCCAGCAGTACATCAAAAAGCTTATCCACTATGATCAAGTTGGCTTCATCCCTGGGATGCAAGGCTGGTTCAACATATGCAAATCAATAAACAGAATTCATCACATAAACAGAACTAGTGACAAAAACTACATGATTATCTCAATAGATGCAGAAAAGGCCTTCGATAAAATTCAACATCCCTTCAGGTTAAAAACTCTCAATAAACTAGGTATTGATGGAACATATCTCAAAATAATGAGGGCCATTTATGACAAACCCACAGCCAATATCATACTGAATGGGCAAAAGCTGGAAGCATTTCCTTTGAAAACTGGCACAAGACAAGGATGCCCTCTCTCACCACTCCTATTTGACATAGTATTGGAAGTTCTGGCCAGGGCAATTAGGCAAGAGAAAGAAATAAAGGGTATTCAAATAGGAAGAGAGGAAGTCAAATCATCTCTGCAAATGACATGATCCTATATCTGGAAAACCCCATTGTCTTGGCCCAAAAGCTCCTTAAGCTGATAAGCAACTTCAGCAAAGTTTCAGGATACAAAATCAACGTGCAAAAATCGCAAGCATTCCTATACACCAAAAACAGACAGTCAAATCATGAATGAACTCCCATTCTCAATTGCTACAAAGAGAATAAAATACCTAGGAATACAGCTAACAAGGGATGTGAAGGACCTCTTCATGGAGAACTACAAATCACTGCTCAAAGAAATAAGAGAGGACACAAACAAATGGAAAAACATTCCATGCTCATGAATAGGAGTAATCAATATCGTGAAAACGGCCATACTGCCCCAAGTAATTTATAGATTCAATGCTATTCCCATTAAACTATCATTGACATTCTTCACAGAATTAGAAAAAACTACTTTAAAATTCATGTGGAACCAAAAAAGAGCTCATATATGCAAGACAATCCTAAGCAAAAAGAACAAAGCTGGAGCCATCATACTACCCAACTTCAAACTATACTACAAGGCTAAAGTAACCAAAACAGCATGGTACTGGTACCAAAACAGACACATAGATCAATGGAACAGAATAAAGATCTCAGATATATAACCATCTGATCTTTGAAAAACCTGACAAAAACAAGCACTGGGAAAAGGATTCCCTATTTAATAAACGGTGCTGGGAAAACTGGCTAGCCATATGCAGAAAGCTGAAACTGGATCCCTTCCTTACACCTTCTACAAAAATTAACTCAAGATGGATTAAATACTTAAATGTAAAACCCCAAACCATAAAAACCCTAGAAAAAAATCTAGGCAATATCATTCAGGACATCATAGGCAAAGATTTTATGATGTAATCGCCAAAAGCAATTGCAACAAAAGCAAACATTGACAAATGGAATCTAATTAAACTAAACAGCTTCTGCACAGCAAAAGAAACTATCATCAGAATAAATAGGAAACCTATAGAATGGGAGAAAATTCTGTAATCTACTCATCTGATAAAGGTCTAATATCCAGAATCTTCAAGGAACTTAAAATAATTTACAAGAAAAAAAGAGATAACGTCATCAAAAAGTGGGCAAAGGACATGAACAGACACTTCTCAAAAGAAGACATTTATGCAGCCAGCAAACATATGAAAAAAAGCTCAACACCACTGATAATTAGAGAAATGCAAATCAAAACCACAATGAGATACCATCTCATACCAGTCAGAATGGTGATTATTAAAAGGTGAAGAAACAACAGATGCTGGCAAGGCCATGGAGAAATAGGAACACTTTTACACTGTTGGTGGGAATGTAAATTTGTTCAATCATTGTGGAAACCGGAGTTGTGATTCCTTAAGGATCTAGAACCAGAAATACCATTTTACCCAGCAATCCCATTATTGGATACATAACCAAAGGAATATAAGTCATTCTATTATAAAGATACACACACGTGTATGTTTATTGCAGCACTATTCACAATACCAAAGACATGGAATCAACTCAAATGCCCATCAATGATAGACTGGATAAAGAAAATGTGATACATATACACCATGGAATACTATGCAGCCATAAAAAGGAACAAGATCATGTCCTTTGCAGGGACGTGGATAAAGCTGGAAGCCATCATCCTCAGCAAACTAACACAGGAACACAAAACCAAACATCACATGTTCTCACTCATAAGTGGGAGCTGAAAAATGAGAACACATGGATCCAGGGAGGGGAAAAATACATAGCAGGGCCTGCTGGAGGGCTGGGGAGAGGGAGAGCATCAGGATAAATAGCTAATCCATGCAGGCCTTAATACCTAGTTGATGGGTTGATGGGTGCAGCAAACCACCATGGCATATGTTTACCTATGTAACAAACCTCCATGTCCTGAACATGCATCCAGGAACTTAAAATAAAATAAAAAATTAAAATAAAAAAGTTAATTCACCACAATCAAGTGAATTTTATTACTGGGATGCAAAGATGGCTCAACATATTCAAACCAATAAATATGATTCACCGCATAACCAGAATTTCAAAACAAAAATCACATGATTATCTGAATAGATGCAGAAAATGCAGTTGATAAAATCCAACATCCCTTCATGCTAAAAACCTTCAGCAAATTAGGAATCAAAGGAATATACTGCCATTCTATGACAAACCCACAGCCAACATCACACTGAATAGGCAATAGTTGGAAGCATTCTCCCTGAGAACTAGAAAAAGACAAGGATGTCCACTCTCACCACTCCTATTCAACATATGGTATGGTTTGGCTCTGTGTCCCAACCCAAAACTCATCTAGTAGCACCCATAATTCCCACGTGTTGTGGGAGGACCCAGTGGGAGATGACTGAATCATGGGGGCAGGTCTTTCCTGGGCTGTTCTCATGATAGTGAATGGTGTCAGGAGATCTGATGGTTTTAAGAATGGAAGTTTCTCTGCACAAGCTCTCTCTTTGCCTGCAGCCACCCATGTAAGATATGACTTGCTCCTCCTTGCCTTCCTCCATGATTGTGAGGCCTCCCCAGCCATGTGGAATTGTAAGTCCAATAAATCTCTTTCTTTTGTAAGTTGCCCAGTCTCAGGTATGTCATTATCAGCAGGGTGAAAATGGACTAATACAATATAGTAATGGAAATCCTAGCCAGAGCAATTAGGCAAGAGAAAGAGATAAAAGGCATCCAAATAGGAAAAGAGGATATCAGATTATCTCTGTTTACTGATGATATAATCCTGTACCTAGAAACCCCTAAAATTCCTCCAAAAGACTTCTAGACCTAATCAATGACTTCAGTAAAGTTTCAGGATACAAAATTCATGTATAAAAATAATCAGTAACAGTTCTATACACCAATAACATGCATGCAGAGAACCCCATCAAGAACACAATTCCATTTGCAATAGCCACACAAAAAATATGATATCTAAGAATACATATAACCAAGGAGGTGAAAGATTTCTACAAGGAGAACTACAAAACAATGCTGAAAGAAATCACAGATGACACAAACAAATGGAAAAGCATTCTATGCTTATGGATTGGAAGAATTAATATTGTTAAAATGTCTATGCTGCCCAAAGCAATCTATAGATCAAGGCTATTCCTATCAAATTACCTATGTCATTTTTCATAGAATAAGAAAAAACTGTTCTAAAATGCTTGTGGAATCAAAAGAAGAGCCTACATAGCCAAAGCAATCCTAAGCAAAAAGAGTAAACTCAGATGCATCACATTACCCAACTTCAAACTATACTATAATGCTACGGTAACCAGAACAGCATGGTACTCAGACAAAAAGAAACACATAGACCAATGGAACAGAATAGAGAACCCATAAATAAAGCTACACACCTACAACCAACTGGCCTTTAACAATGTCAACAAAAATAAATAATGGGGAAGGATGCCCTATTCAATAGATGATTCTGAGAAAATTGGCTGACCCTACACAGGAGAATGAAACTGGACCCCTACCTCTCACCATATGCAAAAATTAAGTCAAGATGAATTAAAGACTTAAATGTAAGATCTGAAAGTATAAAACCCCAAAAAGAAAACCTAGGAAATAGTCTTCTATACATTGATCTAGGCAAAGAATTTATGACTAAGTCCTTAAAAGCAAATGCAACAAAAGCAAAAATGGACAATTGGGACCTAATTAAACTAAAGAGCTTCTGCACAATGAAAGAAACTATCAGTGGAGTAAACAGACAGCCTTCAGAATGGGAGACAATATTTGCAAACTATGCATCTGGCAAAGGACTAATATATAGAATCTATAAGGAGCTTAAACAAATCAACCAGAAAAAAGACAATCTCATTAAAAAGTGGGCAAAGGGCATGAACAGACACTTCTCAAAAGAAGACATACAGACAGCCAACAAACGTATGAAAAAATGCTCAACATCACGCATCATCAGAGAGATGCAAATCAAAACCACAATGTGATACCATTTCACACCAGTCAGAATGGCTATTATTAGAAAGTCAAAAAAGAACAGATGTTGGTAAGGTTGCAGAGAAAAGGGAATGCCTATACACTGTTGGTGGAAATGCAAATTAGTTCAGCCCCTGTGATAGGCAGTTAGGAGATTTCTCAAAGAACTAAAAATAGATTTATCATTTGATCCAGCAATCTTATTACTGAGTATCTACCCAAAGGAAAACAAATCTTTCTACAAAACAGACACCTGCACTCGTATGTTTATTGCAGCACTATTCACAATTGTAAAGACATGGAATCAACACAGGTGCCCATCAGTGGTGGACGGATAAAGAAAATGTGGTATATATACACCATGAAATACTATCTATTGTGTATATACTAGCCATAAAGAAGAACGAAATCATGTCCTTTGCAGCAACATGTATGCAGCTGGAGACCATTATTCTAAGCAAATTAACACAGAAACAGAAAACCAAATACTGCATATTCTCACTTATAAGTGGGAGCTAATTATTAGTCATTGAGTACACATGGGCATGAAGATGGAGGCAATAAACACTAAGGAATACAAAAGAGGGGAAGGGAATAGGCAAGGGTTGAAAAACTACCTGTTGCATACAATATTCACTACTGGGGTGACGGGATCATTAGAAACCCAAACCTGGGCCGGGCATGGGTGGCTCATGTCTGTAATCCCAGCACTTTGGGAGGCAGAGGCAGGTGGATCACCTAAGGTCAGGAGTTCAAGACCAGCCTGGCCAACATGGCAAAACCCTGTCTCTACCAAAAATACAAAAAAATTAGCCAGGGTAGTGGCGCACGCCTGTAGTCCCAGCTACTCCGGAGGCTGAGGCATGAGAATTGCTTGAACCCAGGTGGCGGAGGTTGCAGTGAGCCGAGATTGTGCTACTGCACTCCTGCCTGGGTGACAGAACAAGACTCTGTCTCAATTAACAAAAAATAAAATAAAATAAAATAAAATAAACCCAAACCTCAGCATCATGCAATATATCCATGTAACAAACTTCCTGAATCCAAATTTTTTTCAATTAATTAATTTAAAAAATTAAAAGATAGGGGAATTATTTTGGAATACTCAGGTGGGCCCATGTAATCACAGCAGTTTTCAAAAGTCGAAGAGCGAGGCAGGAGAGGCCAGAGTGATTACATATGAGAAAGACTTGATCTGTTGTTGCTGGCTTTGAAGATGGGGGAAAGAGATCATGGGTCAAGGAGTGCAGGTGGTTTCCAAAAACTGGAAAGGATATGGAAAGAGATTCTCCCCTAGAGCTTCTTGAGAAAGACACAGCATTGCTGACACAGTATTTTTATCCCAGTGAGACCTGTTTCCAGCTTCTAACCTACAAAACTCTAAGGTAATAAATTAATGCATTTTAAGCCACTCAGTTTGTCATAATTTGTTACAGCAGTGATGGGAAACTGATAAATTTCAGCTTTTAAAAGTCTTTAAAAATGCGCAGTCTTTTGGGTATACACCCAGTAATGGGATGGCTGGGTCAAATGGTATTTCTAGTTCTAGATCCCTGAGGAATCGCCACACTGTCTTCCACAATGGTTGAACTAGTTTACAGTCCCACCAACAGTGTAAAAGTGTTCCTATTTCTCCACATCCTCTCCAGCACCTGTTGTTTCCTGACTTTTTAACGATTGCCATTCTAACTGGTGTGAGATGGTATCTCATTGTGGTTTTGATTTGCATTTCTCTGATGGCCAAGACACATGCACACGTATGTTTATTGCGGCACTATTCACAATAGCAAAGACTTGGAACCAACCCAAATGTCCAACAATGATAGACTGGATTTAGAAAATGTGGCACTTATACACCATGGAATACTATGCAGCCATAAAAAATGATGAGTTCATGTCCCTTGTAGGGACATGGATGAAATTGGAAGTCATCATTCTCAGTAAACTATCGCAAGGACAAAAAACCAAACACCACATGTTCTCACTCATAGGTGGGAATTGAACAATGAGAACACATGGACACAGGAAGGGGAACATCACACTCTGGGGACTGTTATGGGGTGGGGGGAGGGGGGAGGGATAGCATTAGGAGATATACCTAATGCTAAACGACGAGTTAATGGGTGCAGCACACCAGCATGGCACATGTATATGTATGTAACTAACCTGCACATTGTGCACATGTACCCTAAAACTTAAAATATAATAATAATAAAAAAATAAAAAAATAAAAAAATACAAATTCAGAAAGAGGAGAAAATGAGAGATGAGATTGCAGTGACAAAATTTAGGAAGTTGGAAAACTGATGGATGAGTAGGGATTAAGTAGCTGACCCAAGAACGCTGAATACTAAGCCAGCAGTGGAGAATCTAATTGCAACTAATGAATAACTCATAATTGGCCAAAGTCTTGGGAATTAGTGGCACTAGGAATCTCTTGACTCAGTGTGAGGGCAGAATGCTTGAAATCTGTTGAGTAACTGATTCTTAGATCTCAGCATGCGCTCAGATGTGTTCACTCACCCTCCATTTTTCTAACATTTAAGAGTTCTTTACATCTCTGATAGAATCAGTGAAATCATCTGAACTCATAGTTTTGAAGTTTTCACAATTTCAATTCCTTTAATAGACGCTATTTCACACTCATGAGAATGGTTAAAATATAACACTGACAAAACCAAATATTAGGGGGACATTGAATAGCCAGAACTCTCATGTTATGCTGGTGGAACTATAAAATAGTAACACTACTTTGGAGAACTCTTGAAAAGATTTCTGGGAAGTTAAACTTACATTTACCCCATCAGCAACCAATCAATTCTACTTCTAGGTATTTATCCAAGAAAAGTGAAAGTGCATGTCCGCAAAAGGATTTATACAAGAATGTTCACAATAACCTTATTCAGATTTGCCAAAGCCTGGAAACAACCTGAATGTTGATATAAATCAACAGGAAAAATGGGCAAAAAATTGCTGTATGGCCGTACAATGGAATACTACTCAGCAATAAGGGGAATGAACTATTAGTGCCCTCAATAACATGGATGAATCTCAAAAATAGGGTTGAGCTACAGATGCTAGACACAAAGAAAATACATTCTGTGTGATTCTTTTTATTTGAAATCTAAGAACATGCAAAGCTATTCTCTGGCTATAGAGTCAGACAGTGGTGCCCCTGGGACAGAAGTCAGGGCTTGACTAGAAAGAGACCTGAGGGGATGTCTAGTAATGATGGAGATGTTCTGCATCTTGTCTGAGGTGGTGCTTACATAGGTGTATACCGGTGTCAAAATTCATCGAACTGAAAGCCTAGATTGGTGCATTTTGTTTGGTGTAAATTATACATCAATAACTTCAAAATATTTATAAGTTGCAAAACAGATAAAAAAAAATGCGTGGTCTTTGAGATAGCAGTTCATGAGCCATTACTAGAATCTCTTTCTAGTATCCACAGTCAGCTCTCTTGTCTCTCTCTCCTGTCACCATTGTCGCCTGAGAAAACCAAAGCCCTGGTAAAATCCTACTCTCTTGTACTTCACTTCTTCACCAGCACAGCTGAACATTGCTGGAGAAAAACAACTCGGCTGGCTGGGCTCACTTGAAGTCCATGATCACGAATCTCAAAAGGATCTTAGTACTGTCTGGCAGTCATACTACGCTTGTCTAATCCATTAATTCTCCTACTGTCTTAGATGACCAGTGTACACCTTCACCTGTCTCCAACACCTTGTCCTCAAACACCACGCTCAACCACAAACTTGCTTGCTACTTCACTGCGGAAGCTGAAGAATCAGAAGTGAACTTCTGCTTGCTCCCACACCTATCCCCCCACTCATCTACCTCTGTGCCTATATACCCACCTTGTGCTCTGAACCCTTTCCCCTCTTGCCTGCTCGAGGATATGCTCCAGCAATTGTTTCATCCTCCTTCATTATCAATTTTTCCTTAATAATGGATTAGTCTCACTAGCATGCAAGCATTTCATTTTTACCGTCTTAAAACAATTCTTAACCACCTTTCTCCCTTTACCACTGGCCCCAATTCTTTGTTCACCTTGAAAGCAAAACCTAGTGGAATTGTTTATGCTCATTGTCCCAATTCTTTTCTTTCCATTCCTTCTTGAACCTATTCTAATGGGGTTTTCCTCCCATCCAATGCCACAGAAGTTGCTCTTCCCAAGTTCACCAAGAACTGCCAGTTTCTCTAAATCCAGCAGTCATCTCTCCATACTCATTCTGTTTATCATCAGCATTGAACATAATTGATCTATCTTTGCTTCTTGATTTTTTTTAACTTTCCTGCAAGGCATCACTCACCTGGTTTTCTCCTTACCTCTGTGGCCATCTCAGACTCTGTGGCTGGATTGTCTGTGTTGCTCTGATCTCCAAGCCTCCATGTATTTGAATCCTCCCCTGAATTCAAGATCCACTTGACAGTCTAACACGTATCTCAAATTTAACATCTCCAAAACAGAACTCCTCTAACTTGCTCCTCTCCTGGTCTTCCCCGTTACTCAAGCCAAATACCCTTGAGTTACTCTGACTCTCTTCTCGTTCTCATACACAATGTCCAACTTCTTAACAAATCCTGAAAGCTCTACCTTCAAAATATACACAGCATCTGCCAACTTCTTCTTCTTCTTTTTTTTTTACACAACATCTTCCCTCACCATCCACCCAAACTTACAACAACTTCTTCTTATTCTTCTTTCTTCCATCCCTGCTTGTTCTCAATAGGGCAAGCCAGAATGATTTTAAAATGCAAGTTAAAGCAGTACTTCTCAAACTTATCTGTGATAAAGAACAATTTTAATAATTTCCATTCCTTCATGGATTGAAGCTTTTTAAAGATATGGTACAAAACAAATTACTAGAAAAATTAAAGTTTGAAAGACATGCAAAATACAAGACATTTTATTATCAGGTTCAACAGGTAGAAAATTACATTTAAATGATGAAAAGAAACCTAAGTTTCTTATGTTCTAAATGCTTGTTCATAGTTTCTCTACTTGTTTTGTCTGGAACCTGTAACAAACTGCTCATGGAGTGGCGTAGACTTACATATCATATTTTGGGTAGTGCTAGGTTGGATCTGATCTTGTCAGTTCCATTCTCAAACTTCCCAGTGGCTTTTCCACCCTGCATGGTAGCAGTCAAAGGCCTTGCAGGGGCCGCAAATGCTCTCCATGGCCTGGTCTCCCCTCACCTTGTTGAGCTCTTCTCTGGCTTCTCCCCTTCCCTGAACAGGCCAAGTATCTCCTCACCCCACAGCTTTGAACTTGCAGTTTCCTCTGCTTGGGATGCATTATCCTCAGAAAGTCACATGGCTCACCCTTACATCCCTCAGTGCACAGGTTAGATGCCTCTTTTTAATGCTGCCCTCCCTTAGAATCTATTTAAAGCAGCAATCCTTGCCCCTCCCCAATGTATTTTAGTTTATTGTCTGTTTTCACATACTAGCATGTAAACTCTGAAAAGGTAGAGGTTTCTCTATTTTATTCGTGGCTGTATTCCTAGGGCCTAGATTAGAGCCTGGTATATAGTAGATACTTAAAAAATTGATTAAATGAATACATTAATTAAATGAATCCAACTTTTAGGAATATATAATAAGAATATTGTCAGATACGTGCTAACAATTAGATGTATAAAAAGTTCATAGCATCCTTAAAATATTTATTAAGCATTAATAGTAGAAAAAAAACCTCCTCAGTAATAAAAATTTTAAACCTCCTTTATGTCTATTAATAGGATATTAATTAAGCAAATCATGGTGAACATCTACAGTTTTATCTGCCCAGTAGCTATGTTCTCATAGGAACTGCGTTTGCCCAGTCACATGTACTATAATAGTTGCCATACTTTAACAGCTAATTGGCACAGTGTGGGAATTAACTAATGAGCCTGTGTCCTGAAATTATGAACATTGTATCCCCAAAATTACAGTGATTGCAGTCAGAGAAACTTTTCCTGCTGTGTGGAGAGAGCCACACCATAGTGACAGAACTTGAGATGGATCCAAGGAAAAACATAGATGAGGAGAACAGTCTTAATGTTGTCTGAGTCCCTGGTTCTAGTTTTTCCTGAAATTCCACTGCATTCTTATCTTTTCCTCAATTATTCAAACTTTTTTTTGGATTTCACAATCTGATTTGCCTCCTTTTTTGTTAAAGTCCACTCATATTGGTGTTCTATCACTGGAAACCAAATGCACATACAACAGAGTACAATCTAGATATCAGAGAGGATGTTGCATAGTAATATTTATCGACATAGAAAAATCCCTATGATAGATTTCCTGGGTAGAAAAGCAAGCTGTAAATAAACATGACCCTGTTATATAAAATATCAATAGCATGTATTGTGGATACATACATGCATTTAGAAAAGAATGGAAGGATATATGCCAAACGGTGGTTATGTTTGCGTAATAAGATTTTCAAGGACTCCTGTTTATTTTCCCTTTATTTTTTTCTGTTTTTTTTTTAATTTTCTATAATGAGCACTATAAAGATAATAAATCTTTGTAAATACAAAAGAATAAGCATTAATTCCTCTTATATGATTTATCCTGATGTTTTCACTCAAAATATAGGTAGGAGAGAAAATGGGGAAATTATGCAAAAATTTTTTGGGACTTCACCCATTAATCCTCTTGCTTGCTTTAATAAACTTGGTACCCCCCATGCTCTCTCCCAAAACCAACACTAATTTACTAATGAATAATTCAATTAAAAATGTGATTAGAACATATATACTCTGAACTGTTCTACTTTATTCACTTACTCCTGTCTGTTCTTTTTATAGCAGACAACTACATGAGACTTTCTTATAATTAAAGAGTTTTTTTATGTTTTAGGCTGAGTGTTAAGTACAGGAAAAATCAGTGGACATCTACAGTGTGAGAAACCATGCTAATTTTGTAGAGACTCCAAAGAAGTGTAGCCCTGTCCTCAAGAAGCTTTAAAAAACACATAGATTATAACACAGAAATACTTAAAAATAGATCTACTCACGCAAGACTGTGAATGCCAAAGGACATGTCAATATCAGGCCTTCAGAAGAGGGAGGTAGCAGTTCTGGCAGGGAGAGTCAGGGAAGCTTTATGAAAATGGTTGGATCCAAGCAGGAGAGAGAAACAAATAAAGGACATTTCAGGTTGGTGTGTGTAGGTGAGTGTGTGTGCATGGGTAGAGGCTGCTTTAATGAGCTCAGAGAGATGAGCATGTGGGAATAGTATGGAAAATTTCAGGAGCAGTGAGGAGACTACTCCAAATGGAGCTGAGAGAGTTAGGGTAATTTTTGGTCAGATTTTAGAAGGCCTTTATGACAGGACTGTAATCCTGTTAGTCCAGAATTACAAACAATAGCTTTTAGTTCCTGTGCCAACCCAATGGACAATGGCTGTGTGGAGTGCTTTGAGAAGGATCATGAGACAATCCTTGGAAAAAAGCACCATGATCAATGAATGATGAATGATGGGAAATGACATATTAGCTATGCATTGCTTGTATCATGTGTTTTTCTAATTCTGCCTCTCTCTAAGAGGCAACTATTATTCTGGAAGTTGGGGTTATTATTCCCCTCCATCTTTTACTTGATAACTTTAGCACACATGCATATATAACCATAAAATTTTGTTTGTCTTGAGCTTTACTAAAATGATGTCATACTGTTTGTAGGCTTTTGGAACTTGTTTGTTTTGTATTACTTTTCTAAGATATATTTATGTCTGTGTCACTGAAGTATATTTTCACCATTGTATGATATATCCTTTTGTGACTATACCACTTTTTATTTTCTGCTCTATTGAAGCACGTTCAAATTTGTTGAGATTCTTCACATTGCAAAAATGTTCCTATATGCCTTCTTGTGTTTCCCTCTTCATGCCCTATGTAAGGGTTTCTCTAAGTTATACATCTAGGAGTGGGATTGCTAGGTCATAGGGTATGTGGCTATTCACCTTTATGAAATAATGCAAGATAGTTTTCCAAAGTGAATGTTACAATTTTATTATCCCACTACAGTTTTTAAGACTTTGAGTCTTCTTTAAGGGTTGTGAACAGAGAAATGGCTGAGAAAAAAATGGCATTTGGGGAATAGAAATATGATATTTATATGCATGATAGATTTGAAGGAGTAGAGAGTTACATTGTGAAAGCCATTAAGGAGGCTGTTAGAGTAGTTCAGATTTGAATTAAAATCCTAATTTGGAGAATAAGGAGTGAGCTTGGTTGATCAATTATTTTGGTCATTGTATTTGGTTATTAAGTGGGCTGGAAAGTTAGAAATCACTCCAGAATCTTTAGCCTGAGCCAAAATCATGTATTCAAATAATAAAAATATATTGAGAACTGACTACATGTCAAGCATAGCATATGTTAAACAATGAGAGTATAAAGATGAAACACAGAGTGACCTGAAGTTTCTTCAAGAGACATACACCCTCCCAAGACTAAACCAGGAAGAAGTTGAATCTCTGAACAGACCAATAACAGGTTCTGAAATTGAGGCAATAATTAATAGCCTACAAACCAAAAATGTCCAGGACCAGATGGATTCACAGTTGAATTCTACCAGAGGTACAAAGAGGAGCTGGTACTACCATTCCTTCTGAAACTATTTCAATCAATAGAAAAAGAGGGAATCCTCCCTAACTCATTTTATGAATTTAGCATCATCCTGATACCAAACCCTGGCAGAGACACAACAAAAAAAGAGAATTTTAGGCCAATATCCCTGATGAACATTTATGCAAAAATCCTCAATAAAATACTGGCAAACCAAATCCAGCAACACATCAAAAAAACGTATCCACCACGATCAAGTCAGCTTTATCCATGGGATGCAAGGCTGGTTCAATATATGCAAATCAACGGAAGTAATCCAACACACAAACAGAACCAATGACAAAAACCACCTGATTATCTCAATAGATGCAGAAAAGGCCTTTGACAAAATTCAACAGCTCTTCATGCTAAAAACTCTCAATAAACTAGGTATTGATGAAATGTATCTCAAAATAATGAGAGCTATTTATGACAAACCCACAGCCAATATCATGCTGAATGAGCAACTACTGGAAGCATTCCCTTTGAAAACCAGCACAAGACAAGGATGCCTTCTCTCACCACTCCTATTCGACATAGTGTTGGAAGTTCTGGCCAGGGCAATCAGGCAAGAGAAAGAAATAAAGGGTATCCAACTAGGAAAAGAGGAAGTCAAATTGTCTTTGTTTGCAGATGACATGATTGTATATTTAGAAAACCCCATCGTCTCAGCCCAAAATCTCCTTAACCTGATAAGCAATTTCAGCAAAGTCTCAGGATACAAAATCTATGTACAAAAATCACAAGCATTCCTATACACCAATAATAGACAAACAGAGAGCCAAATCATGAGTGAACTCCCACTCACAATTACTACAAAGAGAATAAAATACCTAGGAGTCCAACTTACAAGGGATGTGAAGGACCTCTTCAAGGAGAACTACAAACCACTGCTCAACAAAATAAAAGAGGACACAAACAAATGGAAGAACATTCCATTCTCATGAATAGGAATAATCAATATCATGATTGCCCAAGGTAATTTATAGATTCAATGCTATCCCCATCAAGCTATCATTGACTTTCTTCACGGAATTGGAAAAAACTACTTTAAAGTACATGTGGAAACAAAAAAGAGCCTGCATAGCCAAGACAATCCTAAGCAAAAAGAACAAAGCTGGAGGCATCATGCTACCTGACTTCAAACTCTACTACAAGGCTACAGTAACCAAAATAGCATGGTACTGGTACCAAAACGGAGATATAGATCAATGGAACAGAACAGAGCCCTCAGAAATAATACCACGCATCTACAACCATCTGATCTTTGACAAACCTGACAAAAAGAAGCAATGGGGAAACAATTCCCTATTTAATAAATGGTGCTGGGAAAACTGGCTAGCCATATTCCTTACACCTTATAAAAAAATTAATTCAAGATGGATTAAAGGCTTAAATGTTAGACCTAACACCATAAAAATTCTAGAAGAAAAATTAGGCAATGCCATTCAGGACATAGGCATGGGCAAAGCCTTCATGACTAAAACACCAAAAGCAATGGCAACAAAAGCCAAAATAGACAAATGGGATGTAATTAAACTAAAGAACTTCTGCACAGAAAAAACAAACAAACAAACAAAAAAACTATCATCAGAGTGAACAGGCAACAGAATGGGAGAAAATCTTTGCAATCTACCCATCTGACAAAGGGCTAATATCCAGAATCTACAAATAATTTAAACAAATTTACAAGAAAAAAACAAACAACCCCAACAAAAAGTGGGCGAAGAATATGAACAGACACTTCTCAAAGAAGACGTTTATGCAGCCAACAGACACATGAAAAAATGCTCATCATCACTGGTCATCAGAGAAATGCAAATCAAAACCCCAGTGAGATGCCATCTCACACCAGTTAGAATGGCGATCATTAAAAAGTCAGGAAACAACAGATGCTGGAGAGGATGTGGAGAAATAGGAACACTTTTACACTTTTGGTGGGACTGTAAACTAGCTCAACCATTGTGGAAGACAGTGTGGTGATTCCTCAGGGATCTAGAACTAGAAATACCATTTGACCCAGCCATCCCATTATTGGGTATATACCCTAAGGATTATAAATCATGCTGCTATAAAGACACATGCACACGTGTTTATTGTGGCACTATTCACAATAGCAAAGACTTGGAACCAACCCAAATGTCCATCAATGATAGACTGGATTAAGAAAATGTGGCACAAATATACCACGGAATACTATGCAACCATAAAAAAGGATGAGTTCGTGTCCTTTGCAGGGACATGGATGAAGTTGGAAACCATTATTCTAAGCAAACTATCACAAGGACAGAAAACCAAACGCCACATGTTCTCACTCATAGGTGGAAATTGAACAATGAGATCACTTGGACACAGGGCAGGGAACATTACACACCAGGCCTATTGGTGGGTGGGGGGCTGGGGAAGGGATAGCATTAGGAGAAACACCTAATATAAATGATGAGTTGATGGGTGCAGCAAACCAACATGGCACATGTATACCTATGTAACAAACCTGCACTTTGTGCACATGTACCCTGGAACTTAAAGTATAATAATAATAATAATAATAATAATAAAAGAATCTTACAATTAAAGGAGAAACAATCAAGCTACTGATAGCTACCGTGCTGTCTCACCAACATGATGATGGGGAAATCACAGGAAGGGTGCTTAGAGGTGCAGACCAGCAGCACCTAATCCAGTCAGACGGAGACCTTAGGGAGGAGAGACATTGGGATGTTTGAGCATCCCAATTTTGAAAAGCAGGAGTTCTCCAGGAGAAGAAATAGTAGAAAAGGTCTTTACGAATTAAGAATACAAATTATGGAAACACAAGAATGAGTAATGAGCCTGCTGCAGTCGAGAAACCGCATTATTATTATTATTATTATTTTTTGTGGCTAGTGCCTGGTTATGTGTAAGAAACATTTTATTATTGATACATAATAGATGTACATATTTGGAAGGGTACATTTGCTATTTTGATACATTCATATCATGCATAATGATCAAATCAGGATAATTGGGATATTTTATTTTTAAAGGAATGTTGAAGCAGTAGGCAGGAGCTGGATCATGCCTTGATATAGAGTTTGGACTTGGTGATAAGGCAGTGGGGAGCCGTAAGAGTTCTAGTGCTGTCCTCACACTCACTTCTTTAAGTGTCTCCCAGACCATTTGCTTTTGAAATGTGGCTCATCAGCTTACCACTTTCAACTACTGAAGGAATCATATAAAAGTCTTCCTGGCCGAGGTACAAACTGCTTCATTTTTAATGTCTGCATTTAGAGTATAGTATACCCTGGCCTGATCTCACATCTTTGTCTAATTTCCAGCCTTTGTCTAGGTTACAGCCTTCTTTAACTCAGTGGTCCCCAACCTTTTTGGCGCCAGGGACTGGTTTTCTGGAAGACAATTTTTCCATGGACTGTGCAGTAGGGATGGTTTTAGGATGATTCAAGTGCATTACATTAATTGTGTACTTTATTCTAGTACTACATTGTAATATATAATGAAATAATTATGCAACTTATAATGTAGAATCAGTGGCAGCCCTGAGCTTGGTTTTTTTTTTGTTTGTTTTCTGTTTTTGATGGAGTCTCGCTCCGTCACTCAGGCCAGAGTGCAGCGGCACGATCTCGGCTCACTGCAACCCCTGCCTCCCAGATTCAAGCAATTCTCCTGCCTCAGCCTCCCAAGTAGCTGGGATTACAGATGCCTGCCACCACACTTGGCTAATTTTTGTATTTTTGGTAGAGACGGGGTTTCACCATGTTGGCCAGGCTGGTCTCGAGCTCCTGACCTCAAGTGATCCGCCAGCCTCGGCCTCCCAAAGTGCTGGGATTACAGGCGTGAGCCACTTCGCCCAGCCTCCTGAGCTTGTTTTCCTGCAACTAGATGGTCCCATCTGGGGGTGATGGGAGACAATGACAGATCATCAAGCATTAGATTCTCACTCATCTCCTGAAGCTCATGCCTTTTATATATAAAATACCTACGGGAATTTGGTTAACAAAGGCAGCTAAAATGATGTGAGGACATGAAGTCCAATAGGCAAATATTGGATCAGAACATTATGCCAGAGATGTCCGGAGCTCTCTGGGAGGTGTTGAGAGATGAATGAAGGGTGGGGGATAGGCACTGACAACCCTTGGAGAGCCAGGTGGAGAGGTAGTGATGATTAACTTTAGTTGCTCTCCCACAAGGCTGGGAGAAATTAATGAGCAACAGAATGAATAAGCAAGTTTACTAAAGTTTAGGCAACTTCAATGACTTGAATATGCATAATGTACCACTGCTAAGACATAGTTGAGTAAAGAGGTATGCAACTAAAAATTCCCCAGGCTTCACTAGATTATGTTAGAAAATACATTAATTACAGAATATTCAAATCCTGTGGTTAATTGTCTTCATTCCTGAAACAAAGCCCAAAGTCCTTGCAAAGTTGCCTCCCCACCAGCCTTTTTGGAGCCATCAGGGCATATGCTCAGAGATAAATCTGCTCATATGGCACCTGCTACCTTCCTGGCATGCATCTCTCAGGTGTCGTCTCAGGAGATTGTCCCTCTCCTGCTGGGTGTCACAGACTTGGGGAGCCTGCAGCCAGGCACTGCCACTGAGCCTCACCACTGAGGGGTTTATGAGGCCATCCTGGCTTTAGGGGCTCCAAGTGTCACGTTGACCAAAGCAGTCCATTTTCATCTGTTTTATAAAGGGTCCTGTGTATCTCAATGGAAAAGTATTCAGCCTTCTAAAAGATGTTTGAAGACGATTTCACCAGAGCTTCCATGGAGCCAGGACCCTGCTGTATTTCAGGGAAAAGTGGGCAAGTGTTCATTTTCCAGCTTGATGCAGAACTTTGTTGCCTGGGGAGCAAAGTACCGCTGTTCAAACTCCAAGTCTTACAAAATTGCTTATTAAAATAATTCCTGACATTTTGGCTTCTACATCTTTTCTCCCTAGGTGTCAGGCCTAATCAGTGAAGTAGACTGGAATTAAACACCCCATCTTTTTCTGTCAGAGTTCTCAGTTGTCACCAATTAAAATCTAGTAGTAGCAGAAAAGGAATTTATTAAAGAATATAAGATTTCCCAGGAGGCCGGAAAGCAGGCTGGGAGGCTTCCCAGCCAGCACCAATTCTCAGAGTCACAGTAAAGAACAGACCAGGTGGGAATAACTGCTGACTCCACCAGGCACAGACTCCTGCTGGTACTAGCTCGTGGTGTGACCTTAGCCATCCCTCCCTCTAGTAACTGAATTCACCAGCTGCCATTCTCACCAGAGTGGGCTCTAGGTGGCACTTGTTTCTTTGCAATACATGCTTGTGATTAGAAAACTTGCTGAGGTGCACGTGATTGTCTGGGTCTGTGTCACAGACCAGTGTACTGGCTGCAGAGGAGGTGGGGAATTCTCCAAATATAGGAAGTGTGTTCAATTGTGTTGAGAAGCCCAGACGAGTGATAACATGTTCACTTGAACATCGCTGTCCTCGGGTTCTCTTCCTCTCCTCTATACCTACCCCCAACTACACCCACGCCAAAGCCACAGTACCTTTCCTCCTCATCCACTTAAAGCCAAATATTTCATTAGAATTGAATTATTTGAGGCCTGTCACCACCACCTCACCAAACATGCCCAGACATGACTGAACCTCAGCACTGGAAACACTTAGGCTCAAGCTGAAAGTTTCTTAAGTGCTACACATTAGAAACAACCAACCATTCCTAAACTAGTCCATGAAACCACAGGACACTAAGAAAGGATAGCCCAGATCTAGTAAAGAACACAAACATGTTTTCATGACAGTGATAATAGATCTTCGTTTACACCACCACTGATTTGAAAGGCTATACTGTTTGTTTTGTTTCTTCTTTTATTCTTTATTCAATATTCAACTTAACTATTGAGTGGACCTAAGCACTGTTAATAAAGCAGTAAACAAAGCCCTGCCCATAAAGTGTTAATATTCTAGAGGGAGACGCAGACTATGAACAAGGACTCAAATGCATACACAGTGTAAGTTCAGACAGTGATAAGTACATTAAGGAAAATAAAGGAGGGTTAAGGAATAGACGGTGATGGGACTGATGCTCATTTATATTGAGTGGTCTGGGAAGGTTCAAGCAGATTTGAATCATGGAACAGTGTAATATGAAGAGATTTGGGATCAGAGGTGCCTGAGTTGAAAACATACCCAGGAGCTAAAGTGAGAGGAAGAAGGTCAGAGTGTGGTGGAAAGAAGCCTGAAGATGAAATGAGACAGATAAATAGGGCCAAAATATGGAGGTTCTTGTGGGCCACCATTAGGAGTTTAGCTTTTATTCTAAGCATAATTGAAAGCCATTGGATAGTTCTAAGATGAGCAGTGATGATAGGCTTAGACTTACATTTTTTCAAAGTTCTCACTGGCTGCCCTATAAATAGTAGATTATGGGGTTTTAAATTGGAGATGAGGAACCTCTCAGTAGACTTTGCTGTGATCCAGGTAGAGAAACATGTTGGGTTGGACGAGGGTGGGAGCAGTGGAGATGGTGAGATCAGATCAGGTTTGGGATGTATTTTGCAGCCCAGTCTGTCAGGATTTGCTGATGCTTTGTATGTGAAAATGAGGCAGAAAGAATCCAGTATGAACTTCTAGGAAAGCACTTTGTGACCGATTGTATTTTATGGAAATGACTACAGTATTTCCTGTTAATATAGTTTTCCAGAAACTTGCTACTCCCTCATCAAGAGTTGGAGTCTGTGTCCTATCCCCTTGGAACTAAGAGGGCTTTTGTTAGACTTTTAACTATTAAAATATGGCAGAAGTGATACATGTCTTTTCTGAGTCATTAAAACGTGATCCCACTGCTGCCTGATTTCACTGGGACACTCATGCTGTAACCCAGCTACCATGCTGTGAGGAAGCCCAGGTCGCATGGAAAGGGCCAAGTGGAAAGGCACCCAGGCCCCAGCCCTCAGTATCAGCTATGCTTCCTGCCAACAGTCAAGATTTTCTTGCTAGCTTTTGAGTGAGGTTTATTGGACGTATGCTCTCAGATGCATGACTGGATCCTTCTCATTACTACACTTATTCCAGTCCTTGATTTTTGTCTACAAAGTGATTTGAACTATTAGAAAACGTCCCCAAAGCAGGCTATAAATGGCCCTGAGCTCAGTCTCCATTTTGTATGATTCACAGTGCCCTTCTCCCCGTTTTTCCATCAGACAGGACATCTTTCTCTGAACCTGTCGTCCACTCTGTTCTTATTCCTCTGCTGCCCTCTAGGGGCCATTAGCCACATTGCCCCATTTAGATCCTTTATGCTTGGGGGAAAAAAAAAAAGTTACCATTGATTGACTGGAAGGAACTATTCTAAACACTTCATATATACTTACTCCTTTATTCTTGACAATCCTATAAGGCAGATACTACTATTAGCCTCCTTTTAAAGATGAGACAACAGAGATTAAAAAATTAAGTAATTTGTCTAGGCAAGGTCCTACAATGACAAAGCTGGAATTTGAACCAAGGCAGTCTTGTTCTAGAGTTTATATCTGCATTATCCTCCTTCTCCTTTGGTAGGACAAAGTAGATCTATTGGGCATGCATATGAGACTTGTTTACATCTATACCTTGTAAAAATAAATTTGCTTTTAAACTTAGGTATTTATCTTTTGCCTTGATGACGGCAGCAGGTGCCTAAATGGCCTCCCCAGGCATGAACAGATTCCCCACCAGTTCTGCTCTCCATGCGGTAACCAGAGTGACCTTTTTAAAAAATTGTGAATGAATAAACTAAAGAATACTTTCTCTCATCACCTCTTCTCTATACAGAAAAAAATATAACCAGTCTTACCAAAAAGTTAGATTAGTCAGCTAAGCAAACAGGGTTCGAATATTCTAGCACCCTGAAACCACAGTCTAAAATGGTCTTCTGATGTGTGGTTATAACACTTAATATACAGTGTTTGTCTCTTAGTAACTTTAGGTTTATCTTATTCAGCATCACATTATTTATCCTGTAAGGAAGTAAGCATATCTTCTCTGTTTCATAAGAAGATACCTTACTGTACAAAATGGTACTGTGGCCTAAAGTCACCCAATAAATATGGTGCAGGTTTGGAGTTGTTACTTAGAGTAGAATGCAACTCCTAAAATCTAAATATTTTTCAAAACCTGGATGAGATGTGCAGTGGAACCCTGTAAACACAATCTTTTTTTTGAGACGGAGTCTCGCTCTTTCGCCCAGGCCGGAGTGCAGTGGCGCTATCTCGGCTCACTGCAAGCTCCGCCTCCCGGGTTCACGCCATTCTCCTGCCTTAGCCTCCGGAGTAGCTGGGACTACAGGCGCCCGCCACCGCGCCCGGCTAATTTTTTATGTTTTTAGTTGATACGGGGTTTCACTGTGTTAGCCAGGATGGTCTCGATCTCCTGACCTCGTGATCTGCCCGCCTCGGCCTTCCAAAGTGCTGGGATTACAGGCAGGAGCCACCGCGCCCAGACAACACAATCTTAAACAGAAGCTTTATATGTAAACCACATAAAAGCTGCGCAAGTTGAATAGGAGGCAATAAATGAGGGAGGTGTGTGCTTGGGCCTCTAGAAAGACATAGGAAGCATATTTGAGAAATCTCTAGGGCTTGGCTTCAAAAACATTATTGTAAAGCATGTGTGCATCTAAGGTAACGGCGCTATAACTTGTAATAAAGATGGGAAGGAGAGAAGCTGCCAATCCCAAACTGATGGTCAATATTTGTGGATTCCAACATTCCCAGTTCCTTTATTTATTTCTGGACTATCTAGTTTTCTATGGCTCATCAAATAAAAATCAATATGCCCATATTTACACAAAGCCACCTTCATGCCCTCTTCCAGGAGGAACCAGAGAACTTGAGACTTCCCAGCTACAATTTCCAACCTTGCTCTTCTGGGTTTTCCATTCCATGTTGAGCACTCAGAGATTTTACTAGGTTTAAGCTTTCTTGCCTGGTGGGTGGGAGTAGGGAGGGGGGTGGAAATGAGGTGACCATTTATTGAGTATTTGCTCTGAGGCAGTGGTGGTGGGGTCGGGGGTTCCTTCCTGCTTATCAGAGCTGTGCACCTGCTCACTTGCCAGATGATATGCAAAAAAGAATCCAAAGAAGCAGCAAGAAAGCCAATACGTTTTCTTAGATCAAAATGACATATCCCAAAGCTCCTCTCTTTCCGATTATTTTTGATGAGAGCAAAATTATTATACTCAACTCCAGTGTGAATCTACATCACAGGGGGAGATTATTTTAGGTGAAAATTCCCTTATGATTAAATAGATGTTTGTGTGCTTATTTTTGTTGTTTTAAGAATCCTCCAGGATAATTCTGATGCAAACAGGCCTAAAGCCAGAAAGACTGACATACAGGTTTATTTGATAAATTGAAGTTTATTAAATACTATGACCATTATTTTCTGCATTAACCTTATAATATTGGTCACTTGTCTTCCTTTCAAGTTTAAAAACATTTTTTTAAACAGGCTTGAAACCTGCGGGGAAAACATATTATTGTGACATATCACATATCACAACATATCACATTGGCCCTGAGGATTAAACTGTTTCCAGATCCATCTGGTCTGACAGACATAAGTGATTGATTCTTGCTTGGTCTGTAACACACCCCAAATGCATTCACCTGCTATGCCATTGCCCCCTCTTCATTTTCTACTATGAGCTTTAAAAAACTGGAGTTATACATCTCATGGCTCTTAAACTAATGCATGGCTTGTTCCTGACTGCCTTCCAGCACTGGAAGAAAAAAGTAATATCTTTGTGACAGCATGATTACTTCCACCTGTGACAGCTCTTCTCCATTGTGAAATCTGCAAAGAAATCATCTGGAAGGGGAAAATACATGTGTTCTGGGATTAAAGACATAACAGGCATGTACTGAATGTGTCAAAAAATTTGAGATGTTGAGGGAGCTGAAGACAAGCCCTCTACATTGTAGATGTAGTACCATAAGGAATTTTCTAAAGAAGTCTTATGAAGCAATTGTTTTCAGTGGTTTACTACATTTATGAATCTTCAGCCCATCAGTGGAAAATATGATGCTCTGAGAGTCAGCCATGAAGCTGGGCTAGAGTGGGGTGCTAGTTTATCTTGAAAGATAGTTCTTTCAAGATGTATAATGCCCTGTTTCTCCCAGCTATTACATTTCACTTCATTTCTCTAGACCACAGGGTTCTAAGACACTTAGTCTAATTTAGAGGCAGTCTTTTGTTAAGACACCACTGAAGCATATAAAGTTCAGCCAGTGGGACCCAATTGGGTAGCTTTATAGAGAGAAGTCCAGATTTAGTTATCAATGTTAATAGGTAGGTCTTTTCATTAATGTCAGCCAACCAATGTACTACAACACATCATATTGTTTTTTAAAGGACACATCTAATTAGCATCATGATCAGACTATTACATTGAGCAGTCAACAGCATGGGTGCAAAGAAAAATTGACATTAAAACCCTTTATAGGCATGGTTTACACTTTCTACAGAACAGAAACTAAAATAAACTGTTGTACAATTGGTCACAACTACAGTCCTTGAGATTTTTGCCCATACACATGAATATTGTCAAAAACATGTCTTCTTTGTAGCAGCTAGGTCCTACCACGACTGTGCTTGGCTGAGTTAAAAAATCTGTTGTAACCTGTAGTTTCCTTGTCATGTTTCCAGCTGTCCTCTCCTGCTAAGCTTTGTCTCGTGACAGTAATTAAAATCTGGCTGGGCACAGTGGCTCATGCCTATAATCCTAGCACTTTGGGAGGCCAAGGCGGGTGGATCACGAGGTCAGGAGTTTGAGATCAGTCTGGCCAACATAGTGAAACCCCATCCCTACTAAAAATACAAAAAATTAGCTGGGTGTGGTGGTGGGCACCAGCTACTAGGGAGGCTGAGGCAGGAGAATTGTGTGAACCCAGGAGGCAGAGGTTGCAGTGAGCCGAGATCACGCCATTGCACTCCAGCCCGGGGGCAACAGTGCGAGACTCCGTCTCCAAACAACAACGACAAAAAAAAAAAAAAACAAAAACAAAAAACAGTAGCTACTGCTGTAGCTACTGTTGCTACTGGAACCACCATAGCCACCTTGGTTTCGTGGTTTGGCAAAGTATTGGCCTCCACCACCATAGGGGTCAGAGCTTCTGCCTTCAAAGTTTCCTGCCTTCATGGGTTCAAAATCTGAAGACTGATTGTTGTACTTGCCAAAATCATTGTATCTTCTACCACTTCTGCAATTGCTTCCACTACCACTGCCAAAGCCCCTTCTGCTTCCGTCGTTATAGCTGTCACAGAAGCCACTGCCCTTGTTTCTACAACCCTCTCCACCACTTCCATAGCCTTGGCTTTCTTCAGAGTAACCAGGGCCACCTCCTCCATAACCAGTGTCATTACCAAATCCATTATAGTCATCCTCACTGCCACCATATCCACTACTATCACAGCTGCCGCCAAAGCCACCATGACCACTGAAGTTTTCTCCATGACCAAAGTTGTCTATCCCACCAAAACTGCCTCCATGACCACCACCAAAGTTTCCAGAACAATTTTGGCTTCTTTGCCTGGATGAAGCACTAGCCACCTCTTGCTTTGACAGGGCTTTCCTAACTTCACAGTTGTGGCCATTCCCAATGTGGTATTTCTGAATGACAGTCTTATCCACGAAGTCATGGCCATCAAAGGTGACAAAAGCAAAGCGCTTTTTCTTGCCACTGCCTTGGTCAGTCATGGTTTCAATCACTTCAATTTTCCCATGCTGTTCAAAATAATCTCTTTGGTGATGTTCTTCAGTGTCTTCTTTAATGCCGCCAACAAATATCTTTTTCACGGCTAAGTGGGCACTTGGTCTCTGAGAATCTTCTCCTGAGATAGCTCTTTGGTTGTACAACTCTTCCATCCCCTTGTGTGGCCATGCATGCATCTGCCTCCTCCACAGTGGCATTTGTGACAATCCCAAAAGCTCTGGAGCACTTGGTGTTTGGATCTCATTGCTACACAGTTTGTGAGCATTTCCCCATTACTCAAAATGGCTCCTCAGGCTCTCAGCGGTTGTTTCAAAGCTCAACCCTCCAATGAGGAGCTTCCACAACCATTTAGGCTCTTTAGGAGACTCCAACTTAGACACGACAGCAGTGGGAAGAGAGACTTTAACAATGCTTCCTCAACAGCGTCCCCTAGCAGAAAGGAGAAAACTAACAAACGTATCTCAACACACCATATTCTAAACTTTGAAAATGGACTCTGTATTCAATTAAGTTTTCTTCCATCTGGTCAGTAGGTTCCTATGCAGCACATGCTTGCCATGTTTGTTAGTCACTTGAAAGCTTACCTCAAGGCTGGATGATTGATCCAGAAAGTCCCAACTCATTCAGATGTCCAGGCTTGTGTATTTATGAATCTACTCTTGGTCCTGAACCACCCCATCGGAAGGTGTGGTAGAGGAATGCTATCAGCTGCAGTCAGAAGGCTCACTACAGGGATGAATCCTAGCTCCAGGGAAACAGACAAATAATGAAGACTCCAAACCGAGAGAAACTGCACTGCGATCTAGAACCTGGACTCCTTAGGTATATGTTAATTTGAAAACATATTTAACATATTCCACCTGCCAGACATCGGAAATGACTAAGATTAATTTTCAAAGGTTTAGAAGAGTGACCATGTAACATGGATTGAGAAAAGATACAGCTTCTGTCCTCTCACCTCTGCCTTCCCTCTGAAGGAACTGGTTTGTGAGAAGTTAGAGCCTAGGGCCCTGGAGTTGGGTCGCCAAGTACCTTCCTGCTGAAGGCAGCCTTGATCAGTTCCTCCATAGGAACCACTGAAGCAGTTCAGTATCTATCTGAACTATCTTTCTGCACCCTACCTTTTTCGCTGAATCTGGCTCAGTGTACCTGAATTATTATTAAGGTAATAATTCATAAAATGGGATTAGTAATCCCTACCTCGAAGAGTCATTGTGAAGATCAGAAATCATTAGGTGTGATAACCAGAAGTATGGCCAGGAACTCAAATTTTCTTCATTTTATGTTGGGTTATCCAGAAGCAGAGCCTAAGTCAGAAACTGAGGACAAGGGACTTATTGAGGAAGTGTTCTTCAGGCCAAACCTATATCAGAAAAAGGGAAGTGACATAGGAAAGTGCAAATTACCAAACGAGGATATCCTCTAATGAAGTCTAGCCTTGGCCTGATCAATAGGGGACTCTGGAGCATAAGTAGTACAGCAGACTTATCATGATTTGAAGCAGACTGGACTTCCGTGTTCATGAGTCAGCCATTGGCTGTTGGGAAGTGGCGGGGCAGGTGGTGGTTGTGCCGGTGGGAGGGTAATCTCCTTGGCATATCTGGGTGAGGTGGCTTCTGTCAGCCAAGGTTCATTTTCACATTCTTTTAACTTCTACTCCTCACTTAAAAACTTTCAACCCTTAAGACTGTGTGCCTGAGGACTTCGTCCTCTTCTTAGAACTCCCTACTTTGGCATGTGGTTAGAAGGCATCTTTGAGCTCACTTTAGAGGATTGAGCATGTATGAAACAGAAGCAGTGTGATTCAAGGTTCTGGCACAGTATTTGGCATATAGCAGGAACTCTATAGATGCTGGCTCTTTTAAAAAAAATCTCCTGCCCCTAAAACTGTCCTTCATTTTGGAGAATTCCTGGCAATACATTGTCCTTCCATGTCATGCCAGAGGTGGACAAAATAGAAGAGAATGTAATCAAAGCACCTAGGACACAGTACAAGTACATAATAAATAAGTGTTGGTTACATTTCTTCCTTCCCTTTCATTAGCTTTGTCCTGGGACCATTCATGTATTTTGAATTTTCTTATGGTGCAGAAGAATTTATTTTATCCAGTTAATTATTAGGGACATTAATATTCATAATAATCACCCTAAATATTATATTCAAAGTGGATTTGGAGTCATAATCATTTTGGGGGAATACAGTTGTAGAAAATAGCCAAATTTTATCTTGTAAAAATCTTTTATCTTTTTTTATCTCTGGTTCTTTTAAAGCACATGTAATAGGTACTATCACCCAATTTGGTACTTATAAATCTGCACTTTTCCCTACTTTTTTTTGAAATAGCATAAGGGTAAGGAGTTTCTACTGTACCCCTCCACCATTCCTATGCCTCCTGCTCCTGATCTTTGCTTACTGTCAGGAGCAAAGAAAGTGCCCAGTTAATGCTTGTTATCCTGATCAAGCGCAGTAGTGAGCAAGTTAAGACATCCATGAATCAACTGAGAATAACCCCTTAATAAATAAATGAGAAATTTCTTCCAGAATTTTGTGCCAGGAATATAGCAACAACTAGTAAATTTTAAATGCTCAGTTTTTTTTATTTCAGTAATTGTACTTTTATGAAAGCGTCCTTAAAAAACTAGAACCATGCCAGATGTCCATCAAAAAAATAGTTAAATTGTTGCATTCAAAATTTATTGTTACATACAAATTCCATTAAACAAGGAGTTAGATATATATAGACTTACTTAAAAAGCCAAGATACAAGAAAAAAACAAATTTTAACACACACACACACACACACACACACACACACACACAAGCCCAGTTGAAACTTTTTATTTAGTTGTGAGGTAGAAATTAAATTTTGCTTTCTTCTAGATGGATCAACAATCTTAACATCATTTATGAAATAGTCTGAATTTACTCCACTAAATTGAACATGTTAATTTTGCTATATATCCAGTTTCCATAGTTAAATGAATCTTTTTCTGAATGCTATTGATTTGACTCTTCTTTTAGTGACATCATGATTAACTGAACACAGTACCTTTACAGACAGTTTTAAGAGCTGCATAGCAAGTACCCAATTCTACCTTTCTCAATTTTATTTTTTGTAAAAGTTTCCAGGCAATCTCCCATACCAATTTTTACATTAATGTTACAACTTCAGTCTGTTTGAAAAAACCAGAAACATTCGTATCAGACTTAAGTTGAATTAAATATTGATTAATTTGGGGGAGGAGTGATCATTTTATAAAAATGTCTTTCTACTTACTTTCAGTATAATTTTCTTACAGGTTTTCAATACTCCCACTCCTATTTTGGGGTGAATAGGAGTGGGTGAATAGAAACAAATATTTCTGTATTTGTTTTCTAACTGGTTATTGCTAGTATAGAGGAAAACTATCAATTTTTATTTATTTTGTATCAAGCCACTTAATGAACTCTTATTTTTTCTGATTATTTTTCATGTTTAGTGTTTTATTTAGTCTTCATCAGTTTTGGGGGGAAATGTTGTGGTTTCTTTTAACTCTGAGTTAGACACAGGAAGGATATAGTAAATGACAAACCCTCTTACAACCAAGTTCAAATTAGTTTCATTCTTATTCTTTATTTTTGTGATTCTATAAGCACCTTTCCAACCTCTAACTGGAGAAAGGAAAGCGATATATAAGCACGTGTGTGGCCAGGTCCTCCTGCTCTCACTCTGTCCAGGACGGCATGCCAACAAAACTCCTGAACTGGAAATTCCCATGATCGGTAGAGGGGAAAAACAGCAGCTTGTACGTAAGAACCCACAGGCCAGTGAGTCTTCTTTGTATCCTATCAGGTGGATAGGAGCTGGCTCAGGTAGGTTTATTTCAATTTTACAGGACTGATTTGAGCAGTCAGAATACAACCAGGGGCCAACCTTCCCACTTTCATACTCCTGACTCTAGTTATTATCAGGATTACAGTGATTTGATGGTCATACATCCCACAAAACATCTTCACAAGACAGTGCTCTGTAAATAAATAGCTCTTGCAAAAGTAGAGATGCAAATTCACGCAGTGTTGCTGACTCAACAGTTCAGCGAAATAATTTTAAAAGAGGGACCTTGATTTTATCTTATGTGTTTTACGTAAGCTGAGAGGACAGAGGGAAAGTCATTAATGGTTTTTAGCCCAAGGAATAAGCATGTGGGTCTTTCTGTCACCTTTCATGACACTTCTCTTCCCAACTCCTCTACTGAACTTTTTGGCCCTTTGTCCGATCAGCACATCATACCTACCATTTATCATTCTATCCACCCCTTCATATAGATATTAGTGAGCTGTCAAGAATCACCCCCATAACATGCCCCCGCCCCTACTACCACCAACAACAAATTGTGTAGAGGTGGAGGTGTTTTATAAGTACAGATGCTCCTCAATCTACAACGGGGTTATGTCCCGTTAAACTCATGGCAAAGTTGAAAAATCATAAGTCAAACCATCATAAGTCAGAGAGTTTCTTTGTAAAGACAAGAAAAATAGATGATAACGTTTTCTGAAGCACTTATCACACACACGACTCACCTCTAGGCTTTTAGTAATTTAGCAATGCTGTTTTTTTTTTTAATCCTGCTGCCTAGAATTCTGTGGAGTAAATCTCTGCTGAATATGCATGTTTCAATCATTATAGTGTGTTCTTTTCTATAAAAAATTCTGCCTTTGACTCATGATAGCTGTATAACACCTATTTTGTTATTAAGTATTTTGAACTGATTGACAACAGATAGTTCTCTGTTCTGCTGCCTCAGCAGATCCTGATAGATGGAAATAAGCCTTCTTCACTGAAAAATCTCACTGTTTTTGAGCAGATTCTTTAACAACAGTCCGTGGAAGTTCTGATGCCAGTTGGCCCAGTGTATAGGATTACAAATTCGCCCCAATTCGAGAAGATATTTTTCTTAATTACTATACATATATGTTGTCACTTTTAATTTTTTTAATTATAAAAGTAAAAAAAATCACCATTAAAGACATTTAAAAAAATAAAATCAAGAAGATAAAAGTAATGACCACCCAATTATCCAAACAGAAACTCTACACTGTACCATCTTTGCATTTACATTGAATATTATCAATTAGAAAAATACTATTTATACCAGTAAAAAAAATGTGTCTTAATGTTGTTTTATTTTGGATTTCCATTACAACTGAGAATGAATATAGGTTTTGTATGTTTGTTGATTAGTTATATAATCAAAAACCATAATTATTTTTAATTTCCCTTTGTAGTTAATTTTGTATTTATTTGTATTTCCGCCTTTTTTCTTATTTTTTTGTCCATTAATACAAGCTCATAATACAATAAAGTTATTAATGCTTTTAGTATTTTCTGTAGCCATTTTCACAATTTGATACTTGTCTTATGATTTTTAGAGTTTAGATATTAAAGTTTTAAATTTGTATATGGCTCAATCTTATTTTTATCTCTTAAGCCTTTTATCATTTCTAAGCTAAGTGCTTTTGAATCTAGACATTTGATAAATATTTATTTCACTTTTTTTACTGGTTTCTGTTGTTTAATTTTTAATGTTTACTTCTTTATCTAAAATATATTTTGGCCTATGAAATGAGATGAGGCTCTAAATTAATTTTTCTTTGTAAATTGCTAACTGATCCCTCATAGAGCACTTACTGACTAAACCTTCAGGTTTCTGATTGACCAATGCCATCTCCTTTATGAAACTATAGTGCTATATGTAATATGTTCTACTTCTGGGCTGCAGATTTTATTTTTAGCCTAGTAACAAATCGTTTTTATTTCAGAGGCTATATAACATGTTGTAATATGTTAGATCTGTTAGTATATCTGCAAATTTTAGTATTTGCACTAGTTTTTGTAATTTTCTCATCTCTATTATTTTCTGAATTTACTTTAGAACAATTTTGCCGTGTGTGTGTGTGTGTGTGTGTGTGTGTGTATCACTGAAATTTTGGCAGGAATTAAGTTGAATATATGAATTGATTTCAGAAGAACTGTTATATTTAGAATAGTCAAAGGAGAAAATCTTTGATCTTCTAGGCTCTACTAACAGTCATGATGTATGATAGTACTTTCTCAAAGTATACTGAAGGGGTTTAGAAATAGGAAAATGGAAGCAGGTTGATAAAATAGTAAATAATTGGTTAGCACAGCCACATGGACATGTTGGCCAAGTTCCACAGAAAGATCCTATTTTTAATCATTATTATCACCATCAATTTCATGAACATAAACTTATCTCATCATTTTTACCCACAAAGAACAGGCCAAAATTAATCACTAGCTAGGTGCTTGATATTGAGACTATCAAAAGCAGACTTCCTCAATCTGGCCTGTGATATGATTTGGCTGTGTCCCCACCCAAATCTCAACTTGAATCGTATCTCCCAGAATTCTCATGTGTTGTGGACCTAGGGGGAGGTAACTGAATCATGGGAGCTGGTCTTTCTTGTGCTATTCTCGTGATAGTGAATAAGTCTCATGAGATCTGATGAGTTTATCAGGGGTTTCCGCTTTTGCTGCCTCCTCATTTTCTCTTGCTGCCACCATGTAAGAAGTGCCTTTCACTTCCTGCCATGATTCTGAAGTCTTCCCAGCCATGTGGAACTGTAAGTCCAATTAAACCTCCTTTTCTTCCCAGTCTCTGGTATGTCTTTATCAGCAGCATGAAAACGGACTAATACAGCATATAAGTCTTAGCATGATTATATACTTCCAGGTTTATTCTTTCTGCCTAAAATGTTACTCTTTCTGCTTCCCCCCATCATAAATTCCTTTTAGTCCATCAAGATCCAGATCATATATAATTTTCTCTGTTGGTCTCTAATGACCCTGGCAGTTAGTGACCTCCTTCTCTTTAACTCCTAGTGCTTTATTTGTATTTCTCTGATCAGCTTGCCTTTTTGAATTGTAACTACTTGCATATACTTCTATCCCTCACTAAATCGAAGTCCTTGAGCACAGGGACTTCAGTTTTTCATTGTTATAAATATCTGAATGCTGAGTATCAAGTATAGACTTGAATACATGTTTCATGTTTACCAAATGAATATATAGAGAATAGAAGAAAACGATTCTAGTTCACAGACATTTCTGTAGGAAAAACATTGATATAAAAATTCCTAGGAAATGTTTTGTACATTTCAAACATTCCGAAGCCATTTAATAGAACTTTTTGAAACCTCAAAACTCTAAAAGCTGGTCGTGTGTGTGTGTTGTAGGCAGTAATTTCCTCCTGAGATTTCAAGATGACGTGTGTCAGGTAGTTAATCTGTCACTATTGCTTCAGTACAGATGAACATACATAATTTTCTAAATAATGCTCAGCTGTAGAAGCATCACGCTGAAAGCACACAGCAGTGGATAGGTAACTTGGTGAGATGGATGGAAATGCCACTGCCAAGCTGGACTTTCCCGGGTGGAAGGCCTGTGTGCTAAATGGAAACCGCACACTCGACCTGTGAAAAACATTTTCATGTCAGCAGAATTGACTTGAAATGTGGATGAGGCTGACAATTCTTTACATGGTGTTTACTTCCTTCAAAAAAATCTTCCTGCCCGCCTTCAAAGGGACTTAATACTCTCACTATCGTATTGCACTTTCAAGTGTGGCAAAACAAATTAAATCGCTATGAGCTACAACACTCACTTAGGCATGGGTTGGACTTTGTACGTTTTTTGAACCACTTAGTGCAAATGGCCAGCCCGCCCCAAGCACATCATCAATCCCTTATGAAAGAGAACTCTTGGGTGCACTCCATATCCACAGCCTTGCCTGTCATCACAGTCTTTGATTCTCAGCTCCCTTGACCTTGTGTGTTTTGGCTTTTTTTTTTTTTTTCTCAGTTTTTCTGGTTCTCCACTTCCTGGAAGCTTATAAAAGTTGTCTCTGGCCATTTTAGACAAACATCATTTCCAATAGTTTTAGACTCTGGGAACCTATCGCTTTGTAGCTCCCAGGAGTTGGTAGAGCTTCTCCTGGCTTGCTCTGGCATGAGTAGGAATTAGATCCTGCATAGGATCTCTGATAACATCAGTCAGGAGAACAATGACTGCAAGGGGCTGGTTCAAGGGAGACCAGCTCCTTGGAAAATGATTAAATATTGTTTATTTCTGACATCACAATCAAGTTGGGACCAAGTACATTGTATAAAGGAATGTTGTATTATTTTAGGCTCTTACCATTCAGCATAACATTTTATTTCTGACAATAAAACTGAGGGATGTATAATAAAAGAGTTGGGCAAAATTCCACTGGGCTTCAATGATCAACCTATAACCAAGCAAAGTTCCCCACATTCTTCTGAGAGTCCTCTCTAGCAAAATGTATTTTATCAAAAGACTGTTATCTATAAAAAAGTAAGTATATATAAAGCAGCTTGTCAGAAATGGTGCACTAAACTATGACAGAGAATGATGAAGTTATTGCAATATTTGAGTAATTATTGGTATGTGAATCATTTATAATTTACTGAATACTTTGACTTACATATTATTATTTGGTCTTCCTGATTCCAGTCTCACTCCACTAAAATATGTTCTCAATAAAATAGATCACTAAAATGCAGTAAAATGATGATATCACTCCTCTGCTCAAAACTCTTCAATGGTTTTCCTATATCTCACTCAGATTAAAAATCAAGGCCTTGCAATGAGGCTGACAATTCTCTCTGTGGTATTTACCAGTCCCCACCACCCCTCAATTTTCTCTGTTCTCCAGTAGAGAGGCCTAAAATTCACACTACTAGTATTAATTGTTTGAGTTCACGGTCATGATGATCAGGAACAAATCCTCTGGCCCACATGATCTAGTTCTCTTTAGTTCTCAAATCTCATTTCACTTCCCTGGCTCATTCCAGCCTAGCCACAATGTCCCCATTTTTCCTCCAACACTGCACTCTTGGGATAAACTCTACTTGGTCTTCTTTTAGGTATTGTCACATTCAACTTGCTAAAATTTTGCTAAGGATTTTTCGTCTGTGCTCACAAGGGAAATTGGTCCATGGTTTTCATTACTTATGTCTTTGATTTTGGTATCAGAGTAATGCTAGCCTTGTGGAATGAGTTGGGAAGTATTCACTCCTCTTCAACTTCTTAGAAGAGTTCACATAGAATGAGTATTATATCATGCTTAAGTGTTTGTTAGCATTCACAGATGAAATAATTCAGGCCTAGGATTTACTTCGTGGAAAGTATTTTCATTCATATACTTCTTTATAAATTGAATTTTTAAAAATAAACTTAATTTCCTTAATAGATGCAGGGCTATTTAGTGTCTTCTGTTTCTTCTTGAATGCATTATGATAGCTGTATTAGTCAGTTCTCCCATTGCTATAAAGAAATACCTGAGACTGGGTAATTTATAAATAAATTAAAATTTTTTTAAAATAAATAAAATAAATAAAAGTTTTAATTGGCTCACAGTTTGATAGGCTGTACTGGAATTATGGTGCTGGCATCTGCTCAGCTTCCGGGGAGGCCTGAGGAAACAGAATCACGGTGGAAGGCGAAGAGGGAGCAGGCAGATCACATGGCCAGAGCAGCAAGAAAGGATGAAATGGGAGGTGCTACACACTTTTAAACAACGAGATCTCATGAAAACTCACTCACTGTCACAAGAACAGCACTAAAAGGATGGTGCTAAACCACTCATGAAGGACCCACCTCCATGATCCAGTCACCTCCCACCAGGCCCTCCCTCCAACATTGGAGATTACAGTTGAACTTGAGATTTGGATGGGAACGTGGGTCAAAACTGTATCGATAGCTTATACTACTCAAGATATGTGTACATTTTCATCAAAGTTGTCAAGTTTATTGGCATAAAGTTGTTCATAATATTTCTTTATTTTCCTTTTATTATTGGTCAAATCCGGACTGTCACTTCTCACATTCCTAATATGGGTAGCTTGTGTTTTCTCTTTCTCTTTTTCTGATCTGTTTTATGAAAGGTTTATCAGTTTTGATTTTCTCAAGGACAAGTTTTTAATTTTATTAATTTTCTCTATCATTTTCTATTTTCTATTTCATTGTTTCCCACTCTGATCTTTATCATTTTCCTTCTACTCCTTAGGTCGGGTTTTATTTTCTCTTCTTTTTCTAATTTCTTAAAGCAGAAGCTGAGGTTGTTAATTTCAAACCTTTCTTCTTTTCTGATATGGGTGTTTGAGTTTCATAAATTTAGATGTATCTTACAAATTTCAATAATTTCTGTTTTCAATTTCATTCCATTCATTCTCTTTTGATTTATTCTGTGATTCATGAGGTATTCAGAGGTGTGTTATTTAGTTTCCAAATATTTGAGGATTATCCAGAGATGCTTTCTGTTATTTATTTTTATTTATTAAATTGAGCTTCATTTAATTCTGTTGTGATCTGAGGGCACACTTTATATTGTGTGAATTCTTTTAAATTTATTGAGATTTATTTTATGGCCCAGAATATATGGTCTTGAACACTATAGACATGTTCTTGCCTCAGGGTTTTTGCATTTATTGTTCCCTCTGACTGGAATATTCTTTCCCCAAATGTCTACATGGTTTATTCCCTCAACCCCTTTGGGTCTCTGTTCAAATGTCATCATCTCTATGAGGCCTTTCCTGACCACCAAGTACAAAATGTGCATAAGCACTGCACCAGGCCCTCCTCATTCTCCTTCCCTGAATTAGTTCTATTGCACTTATTACCTGTGTGTGTGTGTGTGTGTGTGTGTGTGTGTGTGTGTAGTCTTTTACCTACTAGAACATAAATTCCATGAAGGCAGAAATCATTGTCTATTTCACTCATTAATGTACCCTCAACACATAGGACAGTGCCCAGCACATAGTAGGTGCTCTCTAAATATTTTTATATAAATTTGATTTTTAAATCACCTGTGAGAAATAGCTAGGGCTGATTTTATTATCACCATTTTGTCAATAAAGTAACCAGCTAGTGAAATGTAAAATCAAGACTCTATACACTCTCTGTTTTATAGCATAATTCCTGCCACTTAATGCCAGCTGCTTTGTAACCATTTTGTGTCAGGTATTGTGCTAGACTCCAGGGATTACAAGATGAAGCAGCACAGTTCTAGTCTTCATAAAGGTTAGGGAGGACTGGAGCTCAAGCTGCATGGTGGGAGTTGCTAGAGGTAAAACTGAAAATTAGGAAGGTCTCGTACACCATATTGGATGCTTCAAGTCTATCCACAGAGGAATGAGAAGCCATTGGAGAGCTTAAGATGGGAAGTGGCATGATCAAATTTCCAAATCAGAATGATTTAGATTGCATAAATTATTTTCATTCAATGCATATGTGTTGAGGGTCTGTTTTGTTTCAAGGACCCTTCTCAGTGCTACAGGTACAGCAAGAAACAAAAAGTCTCAGGAAGTTTACAACCTAGTGGAGAAGACTAGACAATAAACAAATAAAAATGCAATGTAATTTCAAGCAGTTGTAAATATTTTGAAAGTAAATAAAGGAAGGTAAAGGAGTTGAAAGTCATGAGGTGTGTTTAAAATAGAGTTAGGAAAGCTCTATTAAGAAAGTTACATTTGAGCAGAGATATCAGTGAAATGAAAAGGGGGGAGACACATCCAGAGAGTTCCAGGTGGATGGACAAGGACGAACACATGCAATGGTTGTGACACCAAAGTGAGCTTTGGATGCTTGAAGAAAGTCAAGGCAGCCAAAGTGACTGGAGTTGAGTGAATGATGGGGAAGAGTGATATGTAGTAAGGATGGTGAGGTGGGCAAGGGTAGATGAATGTGGGTTGTAAAATGGAGTTGAGTTTTATTCTAAGCATAATGAGAAGTCACTAGAGATTGCAAATTAGGGAAGCAATGGTATCTGATTTACTTTCAATGGTATCTGATTGACTCTGGTGGATGTGTGAGAAATGGACTGTAGCAGGGCAGGAAAGGAACCAGTATAACCATTTAGGAGACTATTACAGTAGAGCAGGCAGAACAAGATGGCAAAACCTGGAGTCCATAGTGGAGGTGGTGGGATATGAAATTGGTAAAACACACATAACTTCCTAATGGATTGGATGTGGGGTATGAGGGGAAGAGGAATCTTAGATGATTCCTAAAATTTAGCCTAAGCAATTAATCAGTGGTGGTGCCATTTCCTAAAATAGGAAAGATTGTGAGAGGGGTTGTTAGGAACTGAATTGTGCCCTACCCCTAAAATTCCTGTACTGAAGCCCTAACCTCTAATGTGACTATATTTGGAGATAGGGCCTTTAAGGAGGTAATTAAGGTTAAATGAGATCATAAGAGTGGGTCTCTAATTCAATATGGTTGATTCCTTATAAGAAGGAAGAGACACCAGAGATATGTGTGTGCAAAGAAAAGGCCATGTGAGGACATAGTGAGAAGTTATCCAAGGAGAGAGATACCAGGAGAAACCACTGCTGGCTCCTTGATCTTGGACTTCCAGCCTCTAGAACTGTGAGAGGATAAAATTCTGCTGTTTAAGTTTCCCAGCCTTATTTTGTTATGGCAACCCTAGCAAACTAAAGAGGAGTGAAGAGATAGTTAAAAAAAAAAATGAGGAGTATCCTCTTCGACATATTGAGTTCGAAATACCCATTAGGCTTCCAAGCAGAGACTGAATAGACAGGTGTACATATAATTCTGAGGCTTAGGGAAGATGTTGAGGCTGGAAACATAATGGAAAGTCACAAGATAAGGACAAAATTTGTTATAGGGGAAACACATAATCCCCAGTCTTTATGTTTCTATAGGAAACCTCCATCGATGTTACAATTGTGACTTCTCAAGAGTGACTATTCCTAGGGGAGAGGAATCGTCACAACTGATTGGTCAGCTTGGGAGAAAGAACTCAGCATTAATGGTTCATTCATTTTCTTGTATCTGGAAGGGCATATCTGCCTTCAGAGAATATACATTTTTTAATCCTCCATGCTGTAAGTTTTTCACACACCAATCTGCATTGGAGGAGGCCTGTGGTTGCCCAAATGTTCTTGTGTTTGTGTGGGTTAGTAGGTGTCGCAATCGTATTTTCCAATATAAATATTTTAAAAATAAGTAATAAGGGTAACATATTTATCTCTTCTCTTTGATTCCTATCTCTATCTTGCGATTGATTCTAATGTCATGGTTGACTAGATGAAGTCATCTGTTCAGTAGTTATTGATAGAGAACTATCTGCCTGATAAAGTGATAGTGAGAAACAGTTCCTGGCACATAGTAAGTAATGGTAAGCTACTCTTCATAGACAGGAAGAGCTGGATATATGGGAATGAAGCTAGTTAAACGGACTGAGCTGGAAATATAGCAATATTGAGAAATGAAAGCCCAAAAGAGTATATGAGTAACTAGTTGGGAAACTGGAGAATGTGTCTTTATGTGTATGCATGAATGTGAATGCACCAGCACAGTAGCTGTTGTAGTAGTGGAAGGGCAGTTAAACATACAAAGCTTTAATGATGACTATTAAGAAAATAATGTTTGTATCATGGTAATATAAAAGGTGTTGAATTTCTTGTCTCAGTTAGGATTTGGAGCTTTATCAGTTATCCATTTCTCCATAACAAATCCTGATTTAAAACACAAGAATTTATCTTGTCCTAAATTGCTATGCCTTAGCAATTTGGGCTGGGCTCAGCCAGTTGGCTGTTTTGCTGGTCTTGCCTGGGGCCACTTATCTGGCTTCAGTCATCTGGCAGCTTAACTGAGGCTGGATGGTCTCACTCACATGGCTGAAGGTTGGCTCTCCTTGTTGACCAGGTGTGGTCTCTCATTCTCATGGAGGCTGGCCCAGGCTTCCTATCTCACAGCAATGACAGCCTGAAAGCAGAAGCTGAAAGGCCTTTTGGTGCTGAGACCCTGAAGTCATATGATGTCCCTTCTGCAGCCTTCTGTTGGTTTTAGGCAAGTCACAGGGCCAAATTAAAGGGAAAAAGAAATGGACTCTATGTCTTGATGGGAAGGGGTGACAAAGTTGCATGGCAAAGAAACATGTGCACAAGAATCATAAGAATTGTTGTAGCCATCTTCGTAAGCTGATGAACAGTAGTCTGATGGCACATTTCTTGTGTTGTTACCATATGCTCACCAAATAGAATCTCAAATGTATAAAAACCTTCCTACCACCAACTATGCCCAGAATAAGAATTATACATGTTATGCTATGTGTGTGTCAAAGGTAGGAATAAGTAAAAGTGCAAGTTGATCCAGAGTTTGCACTTTGATGTGGTATTACCTGTGGCCAACTCTCCCTTGATGAGAATATAGGTAGCTGGCCAAGTGGAACAAGTGTTTTTTGTTCAGGATGTTTCTTCTACTCACTTCCACTATATCTACTTTATTCATATTATCTTCGGATCCCAGCAAGGGCATATGAAGATAGAGGCCATGCAGTAGATTCTGTCCAAGAATCCAAAAGCCACATTTTCCTTGGTGTAGAAGTCAAAGATGACCCTGTTCTGTGATGGGCCACAAAATGTTGCAGAGACCTTAGGAAGATTGTTTTTTGCTGTTTTTAAAGCAAAACTTTACTTGATTAGCTAGGGCCTCTGATTTTTCAACTCTGTTTTCCTTTCAGAATTTGAATTCAAGAAAAAGAATATCTTAACAGGTACATTGAAGCACAGCTCAGGTGTCAGACTGTCTGAGATCATACATTTAATGGCTCTGTGACCATGGAAAAGATAATTAACCATCCCATAACTCAGTTTCCTCAAGTATAAACTGATGACAACAGTAGTATCTACTTCATGCCGTTGTTGTAATAATTAAATCAGTTAATACCTGTAAAGCTGTTGAAATAATGCTGAACATACAGTTAGTATTCAAAAGGTCTTAGCTATTATTACTGTTGTTGTTTTATTGCTGTTGATCTTTATATACCATATAAGGCATGATGAAAAATTACAGAAATATAGACAAATATTCCCATTTTTTAAATGCTTGTAGTTAAATTGGGAAAACAAACTATGTATATATAAAATATTTAGGGAGTAGTTAAAAGACCATATTTGAGAAAAACAAATACTTAGACTAATAACTCACATGATTGCTGAGGATGATCAGTATGGGGAAAGATGATCAATAAAGGGATGTGCCACTTAGGAGGAGAATTTTGGGAGAGACACCGAAGAAATGGTATGTGGCGGGAAAATTGCCAGTGTGCACAACTGCATTCAATTACCCAGCTTCCTGCTCCCCCATGCTCGAACGTGTATATGGGGAAGTGGTATATGCTTTTCTATTACTCAGACTTGGTTCTTTGAAACACTCCCACCCTACCTTTTAGAGGATGTGTGTCAAAAGTGCAGTTACTTGTCCCTTTAACATAATACCAGTTAACTCATACTGGGTTGCTGTTTTTGTTGTCACTTCAATGGGTGAGTTTTCCACAACACTATCAACTTCTTTTTAAGGGAATATAAGAGTTGATTCAACGAAAACTCTGTTGGCTCTTCTTGGTGAAGAGCAAAGGAATTTCTTAAGCTTTGAACACTCTGCCCAGATTCCCTTCTCTGGTGGAAGTATGTGCATAAGTCTACGATTGCATTTCTTTGCATGTCTGAAATTTTATGTGGCAGTTTTGCCAACAACTCCAAATTCTTAGCTTAATCCACCTTAGAGGTTGTAAACATTTATTTCCACTTTTAGTCCAGCGACAAAGAACTTTTGGCCCTCTCTCTCAAGATTTTAATGTGTTGGTGTGTTTGCGTGTATGTTTTAATATTTTGGTGTACAAGAAACCCAAATGGTTTCCTGTACTGTCGATGTCAAACTGATACCTGTGTTCTCCATTTTAATCCACACTGAACACTATACAAATTGTCTTACTAAAGCACAGGCCTGATTATACACTTTCCTTTCAAATACTCTTGATGGCTGCCTACGGCATGTGACATGTGACATTCAACATGTCACATGTCATGATTCGTGTGTCATGCTTCATATGTCATGATTCAAGACATGATTTATCATGTTTTGATTCTGCATGCTGCAGGCAACATGTGACATGTGACCTTCAGGGCCCTTCACAGCCTTTTCCTAGTCCGGCTTTCCAGGCATCCTTTACCCTTTTCTAATCTTTTGTGAGTTCTTAGGCCTCGGTTGCTTTGATTACACAAACACCTCTCAGTAGAATGACTTTTCCTCTTTTCTTTTGGTCCATTTTCTGAAGACCCTTCAAAGACTTTCCCAACTGGCCCCTCCAGGTCTAAATAATTGTTCTCCTTCTGGGCTCTCATAGCTTTTGACTTACCCTCCAGCTGGTTGTTAGCAGTTGGTGGGCTTCTAGCCTGTAACAAAAGACATAGTTAATTTAGAAATATTGAGATAGTGGGCATCACAGACTATGACTGCCTTCTGGATCAGTGGAAGGTTCTAAACAGTAAATTTCAAAACCCCAATTTGTTCAGTCCACCCACACATTTGCTGTTCTTGGGCACTCTAGACATCTCAGAATTTTATTAGAGTTTACTTAGAAATCTGATAGGACATTGTGAGTGTACAAGTTGACATTAGAGGCACCTACTCTAGTGTGGGTGCCCCTCTGGTGTCTAGGGTTCAATGTACACTATCTCCTTCAGGCCTCACCAAGGTTGGCCTCATCATATGCACTTTACAGGGAAGGAAACTCAGATTCTGAAAGCCAGACGCTGTGCTCCAGAGGTACGTGGGAGTCAGGGAAGCACAGTGTATATTAGCATGGATATCTGCAGCCCAGCTGCCTGGGTTTGAATTCTGGCTCGGCTCTTTAGTAACTTGTATCCATTACAAAACCTTTCTGTGCCTCAGATTCCTTCACTATAAAATATGGTGGTGGTATCTTCAATAAGTTGATACATGCGAGGCACTTAGAACAGAGCCTGGCATGTAGTAAGCACATGTAAGTGCTAGTGATTATCATCATTGTCATCATTATTAACTTTAATGAGCACGGAACTAAAGAGTAAATGAGTCAGGATTTAGACCCAGATCTGCTTGGCTGTAAAGGTTTCTATTTTTACATGTCAGACTACCTCCTGTTGTGTCCATTTGCCTCGAAATTAAAGAATAGAGTGAAGAGTCCTCTTTAACTTTTCCCTCAGAGACCCAAACGCTTAATCAAATTATTTTAGTTTAAAATGTATGATGAGTACCTCCTGCACACTTTATGGAGGTTGAAGGCTCCACAAGAATTAGTATGAGAGAGTTCAAATTCTGCTTCCACTCAAAGGCGTGGTAAAAACCACGGATCCTCTTAAAAAAGTTGCTCTGGGATAGGTCACTGTGCTTGTAACATTACTGGGGTTTGCCTAATGGTGTTTGGACCTTCCGCACAAAGTCAGGTGGTTAGAAAGGACTTAGAACTTAAAGTATAATAAAAAAAAATATATATATAAAAACAAAACAAAACAAAATAAAAAAAAAGTAAGGACTCAAACAAGCCTGAGCATGCCTGTTAATACAGCACATACAGCCACTCTCTCTACCTTCCTTCCTGCATTGAGGGGTGAAGGAAGGTTTTGTAAAGTTGTAGGAGTATTTCTTCCTCCCCACCCCACCTTCCTCCTTCCTCTGTTCCTCAGAAAGGCATGGGCCCCACATTGCTCAGGAAGAGCAAAGCAGAGGTGAGAGACAGATAAGAAAGGTGTTATGCCTGGCATGACTGGTTTAGGCTTAAGTTTGGGCCTAAATAGCCATGTAGGGTGAATGTTTTCTATACATTGGCTGTAGCTTGCTATGACTGCATTCACAGGCTACTTTAATTAAGCAAGAGGCTTAGATTGTGAGATGAGTTCCCTGAGAGTATTATGCTTTTAATTTAGTTAAATTCAATTAAATCCATCAAATTCATTCTGTGCCTCAAGCTACAACAACAGACTAGGTTCTGTGGATATAAATTTGTATAAGACAAGATCAGCAACCTCCAAAAGTTCTAAGTCTTGTTCAGAAGACCAAAAATAAATAAATAAATAACTCTAACCCATGTGGTAAATTCTATGGTGGAAGAATCCATACAGAACAGTGAGCCCATGCAAGCAGGAGAAATGGTCCAGATGACTGGCTTGGATGGGTGGTGGTTTGAGGTACCAGTCAGAGGAAAGCTATCTCTGAATAACAAATAGAAAATTTTCACAAGGGGAGATGAACACATCAAGCAAAAGGCAGGGAATGAGCTAAAGCTTACAGATGTGAAAACACCTGGCTTATTCAAGTGAATAATCTAAAAATAGTAGCTGGGAAGTACTCCAAATGTTTTATAAGATTAATATCTTACAATACCCATATGAACCAGTTATTTCCATTTTATAGATGATTAAACTAACTTTCCCAGTGATATGGCCAGTTCATGACTAGGTTTGAACAAGACAAGCTACCTCCAAAGAAAGATATAATGACTAGCCATTAAATGTAACCATTATTCTCTATGCCACCTCTCTAGATTGAGCCTTCTTAAATAGGGTCAGCCATCAGAGTCATTTGGAAGATTTTAGAAATGTAAAGATTATATTATATTCCCCAGAGAGGGATTTAGTGCCTCCCCTTGGTAAATGGCTCCACCAAAAATGGTAAATGGCTCATTGTTCAAAACAGCCCTGAGAGTAATTCCTGGCACCTCTTCCTTCTTTATCTTCCACATCCAGTTTATCTCCAAATTTTCTCAATTCTCCACCAAAAATTCATCCCCAATCCTTTCACTTGTTCCCATCTCAGCTTCCAGTACTCAAATCCAAGCCTCTGCAAACCCAATGATCTTTCAGCTTCCCTTCTAATCCCCTTCTAATTTTTCTCCAAATCACTGCTACAGTGATGGGATCATACTCCAGCCCAAAGTCTTCCCATGGCCTCCAGTTGCCCTTGGAATTCAACCCAAACCTTCACCATGGTTTACGAGGCTCTGCACGGTTAAGCCCATGCTTATTTACAGGTTTATTTCATACCACCGTTCCTCTTGTCCTGCCATATGGATGTTCTTTTGCTTCCTCCAATGTGACAAGCTCTTTTCCACCTCAGGGGTCTTCCTACCTGCTGCTGTTCCTTCTGTGTGAAAGACTGTTTCCATACTTGGCTCTTTCTCAGGTCTCAGACCTTCCCTGATCCTCTATGACAAAAGGTCCCTTCTGTCATTCGCTTGTAGGGCACTCTGTTCTTTTCTTTCATATCAAAACTTGTTACACTTATATGTGGTTACTTATAGAGATCCATGTCCCCAACACAAGCTTGAAAGTTCCATGAGGATAGGGATTATGCCTGCTGCATTCACCATGGCATTCCTTATGCCTAGCCCAGGGCATGGCCCAGGGCAGAGCCACAATACATTTCTGATGAACAAGTGATAGACAGAGTGGATAGAAAACTACATGAGAACAGAAAAGAAGCGATTGGATTTAGCAAGGAGGTCATATTTGCTCAGCTGATTTCACTTAAATGGTGGAATCATTTAAGTGATTCCACTTAAAAGCAAATACAGTGAATTGTGAAGTTGAATGAGAAAGCAAAGAGGAAATTAAGTTATTCTCATGTGAAGGAAATGATCATACTTACTAAGTGCCAGACTCTGAACCTGGCACCTGACATTCATTATTTCATCACTGCAGCAACCATATGAAGGATGTTCTGTAATCTCCATGTTTGGAATGAAGTAAAGAGTCTCAGAGAAGTTGAGTAATGTGCCCAATGTCACACACCTCGAACATAGCGACACCAGGACCAGGCCCAACTTCAGAGTCCATTCTCCTAACCACTGAGTCAATGGCTCTTGAGTGTACAGGGGAATCATGGTGGTGGGTGACTTATTAAAACCACTACCATCAAGCAATTGTAATTAAATAGGTCTGGGTGAGGGCCTGGGAATCATTGGTTTTAACAAGTGACTGGTTTTGAGTGATTCTGAGGCAGGGAGCCTAGGAGTTCCACTATGTGGAGCATGACTCCACGGTATGCATCGCAAGAGAGGAGATCTGAGGTCACCTGTAACTTCTGATCTAAGCCTTGGAGCCTCCATGACTCCATTTTGTCTATATAATTGATAAAAATGTTTTCTCACAAGTTTATGATGACTAAATGCATAATTTATAGAGTTAATCTACAGTAGGTACATAATAAATGTTGGTTTCTTTCCCCTCTCCTAGACTTCTCTTTCAAGAACTTTTACTAGATTAGGAATGAGAGAGATAGACAATAATTTGAAGTTGTGTCAATTTCTGGGAAAGGTTTTTTTTCCCCCCCCCGTCTCTAGTTTTCAGATAGGAAAATGGAGGCACTAAACCGTGAAGTAACTTGGCCTCAGGTTACAGCTAGTAAGTGGCAACCCTCTTAACCTCCACGCTATACTGGTGGGTAAGTTACATTTGGAAAGATATCTGTAGTCAACACTTGTTGAATTGAATTTCAAACTTGGCTGATCTTTCTATTGCTTTGTTCTTATGACCTTTCCTTCCCCCTTTATTTGTTGACTTTGGTCTTTGACTCCTCTTTACTATATGTCCTTTTATTTTTACTATAAACATCAAGTCTTTTAGGAGACTATATAGTACTAAAATCAAATAAATGTAGTCAATATGTGAGGTAGTGGGTAGATCATAAGAACGGTTAAGGAAAAATTGCACTGTTTGGGATGCTTGGAAATGGGAAATCTCTAGTAGAAGCTTCAAGAACTTTAGAGGCTTCAAAGTAGCACATATGAGGAGATGAGAAGGTGAAGCCTCTGCCAGAGGGGTGGGATTGCTTGCTCCTGACACCTTACCTCACCTCAGGTGAAAAGATCAGCAAGTGTCCTGGGATCTTGTCTCGGCCCTTCCCTTCCAAACCTTACGTGGACTCTACCCTTTAGGGGTGGCTTGTTTGCAGCTTTCCTCTGGCTATGTCTTTATTATGGAGAAGCATGTGACCCCACATCCCTCCTTCTGTGGCCTTACTTTTAGAATGTGAACACATAATCCAGCCCCGAGTTGAAGCCCCTGCCTGCATTGTCAGCTAAAAGCTTTGTGTCCATCTGGCTTGCTTTAGATAAGACCTCAGTATGAGGTCTTACGGTGTTTTTGATTGGTGTTTTGAGCTCTTCCTTCTTCTCCAGGTGCTTTTTCTCTGCCCTGGGCCATGCCCTGGGCTAGGAAAATGCTTTTCTCAAAAATTGTGTTTGTTCTGACATGTTTTATATTTGATCTTGGTGCCTGGGTTTTTTAGTTGCCCTTTATCTCAAAATCTGTTTGTATAGTACATTAGAAATGTGCATTGCTCTTTTCACCAAGAATTACAATTAATCTGACCATCTGAAAATAGACGCCATTCTATTTTCCAAATTTACATTAACTTAATGTATTAGGGTTCTCCAAAGAAATAGAACCAATAGGGTGTCTGTGTGTGTGTGTGTGTGTGTCTGTGTGTGTGTAAGACATTTCTTTTAAGGAACTGGTGTATGTGATTGTGGAGGCTTGGCCAGTTCAAAATCTGATGGAGAAGGTTGGCAGACTGAAGACTCAGGAAAGAGACGCAGTTCAAGTCCAAAAGCAGTCTGCTGGCAAACCAGGAAGAGCTAATGTTGTAAATGAAGTTCAAAAGCTGTCTGCTCAATTCTCAAAAGAAGATATACAAATGGCCAACAAACATATGAAAAAATGCTCAACATCACTAATGATCAGGGAAATGCAATATCAAAACCACAATATGATACCATCTTACCCCTGCAAGAATAGCCATAATAATAAAAAACAAAACAAAACCAGTAGATGTTGGCATGGATGCAGTGATCAGGGAACACTTCCACACTGCTGGTGGGAATGTAAACTTGTACAGCCACTGTGGAAAACAGTGTGGAGGTTCCTTGAAGAACTAAAAGTAAAACTACCATTTGATCCAGCAATCCCACTAGTGGGTATCTACCCAGAGGACAAGATGTCATTATGCAAAAACATACTTGCACACACGTTTATAGCAGCACAACTTGCAATTGCAAAAATCATGGAACCAACCCAAATGCCCATCCATTAACAAATGGATAAAGAAACTGTGGTATACATTATGATGGAAAACTACTTAGCCATAAAAAGGAATGAATTAATGACATTCTCAGAGACCTGGATGAGACTGGAGACTATTATTCTAAGTGAGGTAACTGAGGAATGGAATACTAAACATCATATGTTCTCCCTGATATGTGGGAGCTAAGCTATGAGGGTGCAAAGGCATAAGAATGATACAATGGACTTTGGGGACTTGAGAGGAAGAGTGGGAGGGGAGCGAGGGGTAAAAGACTACAAATAGGGTGCAGTGTACACTGCTCGGGTGATGGGTGCACCAAAATCTCACAAATCACCACTAAATAACTTACTCATGTAACCAAACACCACCTGTACCCCAATATCCTATGGGAAAAAGAAAGCCATGTGCTGGCAGAATTCCTTCTTACTTGGGGACAGTCAACCTTTGGTTCTGATCAAGGCATCAACCGATTGAATGAGGCCTACCTATGAAATGGAGGGCTATCTACTTTACTCAAAGTCCACCAATTTAAATGCAAATCTTACCCAAAAACTCCTTTACAGAAACATCCAGAATAATGTTTGACCAAATATCTGTCATCATGGTCCAGCCAAGGGAACACATACAATTAACCATCCCACTTAGTGTTTTTCACATTGGACCCTGTAGAAGGTATTAATAGATCAGTAGGTGAAATTAAAGGGGAGGAATTCAAAGATTAAATATATTTGTGACATGTAACCTACTGTACCTCCCTCTTGGAGTGCCATATTGCACATTCATCTGTTAAAGACTTTGAGAATTTCTGAGGTCAAGACAACTGCTTGGCTTTGTGTAACTGCTGCCAGAGGAAGGCAGGGCAGCTTGTATTACGTGGTCCTTCACCTTGCAGCCCCAACCTCCACCAATGCATTGAGAGGAAGTGGGGCTAGGGTTGTTTCCCTATAAATCCCAAATCCTAAACCCTGACTTTCAGATCTAAATTGCACAGAAATGTTTGCCTAAGTGCTAAAAATATGTGCTGCAAACTAATTCAATAAAATTGGATAATGATATATTCAGTGGTTCACGGGTTTTTGAATCAATCCCAGGCAAAATGGTTAAAGCTTCTGTATTGCAGTGAGCTAAGATGCCCTGGACAAGGCTTGGTCTTTCCAGCTCTATCACTTTGCTCTCTTGATAGTTCTTTCCCCTTTTGTCTTCATTTATCAGCTTCATGCTATTTAACCTCTCTCTTTTGCCACTTCATGCTTCCTCTCTATCCCCAAGGGAGCTCTAAACAAAAGCAAAAGGAAGTATACCACAGAAAGAGCAAAGCTGTTGTTGTTTTTATAGAATGCATGCTGTTCTCTTTCTGCACTTGATAGCAAAGGCCTCCTCATCCTGAACTCTATGCATCGCTAGTCGTCTTTCCTTAATTAAAATGCCCACAGGCTGGAACTATGGTATGCCTGTGAGGTGATGATAATAGATATACAGTGATGGTAATAGATATAATTAGTGATATATAAACTTAAGCTTGTTGAATTGAATTGAGTTCATACAAGTCAAACCAACTGAGGGAATCCAGATTCTTCACCCCCTCAAACCACTGGCCCAGATTGTGTCTGTGGCTTTGACATGAATTCTTATGAAAAGTGTTTGGGAGAAGGAAGCTGGTTGCACGTGCTCCTCTCATTCCTTTACTCTCCTTTCCTCTCCTCATTTTAGGGAGAAGTGAAGGCAGCATTCCCCTGGTTGAGCATAGTGTATTCCTGCCTTCTTTGTTGAGGCTAACACAGCTGCATGACCTTGTTTCCTTTCCTGACCAGTGGCTGTCATGGACCAAACTCAGAGTAACTCCCCTGAATGCAAATGGGATAGAAGAGAGCCTCATATGGGGCAAAGCATGAAGGTGGAACATTTGCAAACTCATCTCTCCAGTCCTGGCCGGTGGCAGATAAAAGCTTTCCCTAGTACTTAAAAAAATTTAGATCCTTAAAGCAACTTGGCATGAAGAGTAAAACCAATTAAAAGGAAAGAAAAAACAAAACAACCTGTAAACCGCAATCTAGTAACTAGGGCTAAGGGAGGCAGGAAAGAAACATCAGAGTAGGATGTGCTACATTTCCATGCCACACTACTGAGCTCAGGAGGCGGGCTTTTTTCATTTTTCTTTCTGATGAAATTAACACCCCCACATGAAAAAAACATCAAACCTTCCCCAACTCAAAGCAGATTGCTTGTTCTGACATTCCAGGGTAACTGAAGGAGGCTTGCAAAACCCAAACAGGAAACTGAAAGGCAACAGCATTGGAATCTGCTGGAGAAGCTTCTCTATTCTCTCTAATCTTTCCCTATTAGAAGTGCCTCTTGCCTTGTAGGCTGAGCAGGGGTGACTTTTGGCTCCCGTAAGGTTGGGCTGCCTCGGTGAGGCCCCAACACCATTGATTTTGGCCCTTGCTGATCCTCTCACTTTGGCTGCCTGGTACTAGTAGTGGAGACCAATTGGTCTCAGCATGCTGCGGTCTGATGGTTCTGTTGACACCAGCACTCCCAAGTTCAGTCTGCATTTGAGTTTTCTCATTAAGTGGGAAGTAAACAATATAGGTTATTATTGAGCAAAATCAAGGATGATATTGGGAGCTCGAATTTGCTGGAACATCATCTCAAGATCAGTTCCATGGTCCTTCTTTCTATTCATGCTCTTTGAAGTATGATGTCTGTGAAAATGTAACGCTTTTTGCATTTTCAGGTTATTTTGGAGGAGTTACAGTATATACAGGGTGGTCAGAAATAGCAACATTAGCTTCTGAGAGAGACCACAAAAGAAAGACTGCACTTACAGTGGTTGTTAAAACTGTTTAAATTCTTAGTAATAAATTGTTGAATGATTGAACCACAACCCACAGTTTGATTAAACTAGGTCAAATTTAAGTTTACCTTACTCGATTACTTGTAAAGTGGGCTGATGTGGCAAAGAACCACCAAACAAGTGCTGCTAAACAGAGAGCACGATGAGATGGTTATTTATTTTATATATGCCTCTGGTCGTACAGTTTCCTGTTGTTACTGTGCCTTAGGAAGCAAATATTATCAGCTGAGCCAATATCACCTGAAAAACTCCAAAGCTCTGAGGACTGTGCCCAAATGGACTGATCCATTTACAAAACCTTTTCTGGCCTGTTTTCTCATCTAAAAACCTACCTCATAGTAGTGTCTGAAGATTCAACGAGATAATACATCTAACCCCTGACAGAGAACTAGGAACACAGTAAGGAACTAAAGAAAGAGTAACTATTATTTGAACCTAGGAAATTGTCACCATCCTCCTTTTGCATAGGAGTAAAAGGAAGCTGAAATGCTGGAGTGATTTCCCAAGGGCACGAGGGTAAAAAAGTGAAATGATTGTATGAGGCCTGGCACATGAAGGGTATCCCAAACATTTTTTTTCTCTCACTTCCCTAATATGTGGTTCGGCCCAAGGCAAGAACACAGAAGGAGGTTGTATTCTTGTGTTCAGAACATTGACTACCACTTTGTAAATTGAGCACATGGGGAGCCAGGCTCTAATCAACTTTATGGTCAGCAAGAGTTCATTAAACAAGAACAAGACCTAAAAGGTAAACTTGGAATGGAATCAGGAAAGTCAGATGGAAGGCAGCATGTTATGAGATGCTTACCGGGGAGGACAGCACAGAAAGTGTGTGATTGTGGCAAGGGGTAGGGGAAGTAAGGTTTGAAACTGGGAAAATGATGGAGAAAGCAAGAAGATGAGGCATGCAGAGACGTATTTTGCTCTGAATTATTTTGACTAGGGATGTACTCCGCAAACTGGCGTCTGAAGACCAGAAAACCATGGATATATTCATGTGGCTTAGTGAGAATTTTTTTTCTTTAAAGAGGCCTATACATTACTCAGCTTTGAAAAATGCTGAACAAAGGTCATCTCTACTTCAAATAGATAACTTCACTGATTGGACAGTGCCTTAATAGTGGTCCAGACTTCAGAACCACTCTGTAAATTAATCCTTTCAATGATACAGCATCAAGCTTATCAATGATGGTTTCACTTGCTTCAAATGATTAGCACCATAAAGCTTAGGTCCTATTCCAGAAGTGTTCATGGAGTCCCTTGGGTGTAGTGGTAAACATTCATATGTGGCAAAAGTTAAATCTAAAAATATCTGAAACACTCTGAATTAAAATCATCAGATTATTGTAAATATCAGCTTGAGATATCAACTATCAACACTTTCAATTTCTTAATTTTGGAAGTTGCTTTTATTTTATTTTTAAAACTCATCAATTATTCTTTCAGTGGGCTTCAAATATTTTAATACTGCAGCACTGAATTCTTAGCTCTGACCACAGTGAGTACTGCTTCCCTGGTGTATCTCTACACACTGGATGAGATGATGATAAAGCCTAGGGATTGGGGAGCCACCAGATGGAAAAAGACAAGATCTCGGAATGACTGCATGGAGGAGAGCTGCCCAGTTGCCCAGGAACTTTTATGAGAGCAAGAAACCAACTTCTGGTGTGTTAAAATTCTACCTTTAAAAACTGTTCCAGGCCAGGCACAATGACTCACGCCTATAATGCCAGCACTTTGGGAGACTGAGGTGGGTGGATCACGAGGCCAAGAGATCGAGACCACCCTGGCTAACACAGTGAAATCCCGTCTCTACTAAAAATACAAAAAATTAGCTGGGCGTGGTGGCGGGCGCCTGTAGTCCCAGCTACTCAGGAGGCTGAGGCAGGAGAATTGCTTGAACTGGGATGCAGAAGTTGCAGTGAGCCAAGATTGTGTCACTGCACTCCAGCCTGGGCAACAGAGCGAGACTGTCTCAAAAAACAAAACAAAACAAAAACAAAAAACTGTTCCAATGTAATAATTCAGCTGGGACAAAATATATATTCTGATACTGATGCATCTGAGTTCTTATCTCAAATAGCAGAACACCTTGATTCCTAGACAATACAGTTTAAGTAAAATATGTGTTACTATTAAGTGCCAGTTATGGTTCTAATTATTTTAAACATATTGTCTTATTTCAGTCTCACAAGAACCTTACAATGTAGGATGTTTTTAATCTTTACTTAAAAGATGAATAACTGAAGAAACCAAGGCACAAGGAGGGGAGATATTTTGCCTAAGATCACATAGCTGTCAAATGGCCAAGTTTGGAATTTAGATTATTTGGACTCAAAAGTTGTATTTTCAACTGTGAACTTTCAATCATGCACCAGTTGTACATAAAATCACATGGAGTGCTTGTAGCAGACACTCATCCTGTTCACTGAAATCTACTGCCTCTTCTTATTGGAACACCAGCTGGATGGTATTTCCCTTCCTCCCTTGTAGGTAGCTGTCACCCTGTGACTGAGATCTCCTTAACAGAATGAGAGGAAAAAAGAAAATTCATGCTACTTTCAGTCTGGTCCATTACAAGTTCCCATAGTGCTCCTCCATGCTGTTTCCCCTTCTACTTGGTGGATGCGGATGACTATGAAACCCTAGCATATGGGAGAGCCACTGATGGAAATAGTCTGGGTCACTGAATGACTGCATGTGGAGAAGCCTCCTACCAACCTCACCATGAGCCATCCTACGAACAAGAAATTAATTTCTATTGTGCTAATCTACTGACACCTTGGAATTTGATTCTTTCTAAAACTTACCTTAACTAATAAAGAGCTTTTTAAAAATTCAGTTTCCTGCTGTGAACTCCAGAACTCCTAGATTAGAATCTCTGGGATAAAGACTATGTATCTCTACATATTTTTTTTTTTTTTGAGATGGTGTCTCGTGCTGTCGCCCAGGCTGGAGTGCAGTGGCGTGGTCTTGGCTCACTGCAACCTCTGCCTCCTGGGTTCACGCCATTCTCCTGCCTCAGCCTCCCGAGTAGCTGGGACTACAGGCGCCCACCACCATGCCTGGTTAATTTTTTGCATTTTTAGTGGAGATGGGGTTTCACCGTGTTAGCCAGGATGGTCTCGATCTCCTGACCTCATGATCCGCCTGCCTCGGCCTCTCAAAGTGCTGGGATTACAGGCATGAGCCACTGCGCCTGGCTGTATCTCTAATTTTTAAAAGATCCCCCTTGCAATTCTGAGGTAGCTAGTCTTTAGCAGTATTGAACTTCATATCACAATTGACTTTTTCCTTTTCCTAGCTAAATTCTAGTTGGATATCTTAAGACAATGGTTTTCCATTTTTAGTTTGCCTGATTTTTTAAAGAAGCTATAGCTCAACAATTTATATTGCTTCAGAAGAAGCTTCACTTATTTATTTAAGATTCCATTTGACCCAGGGGATTCAAGATGTATCATCTCATCGTGAGGGCACCAAGTCATCTATTTCCTTCTTTCTTCCATCTCTCCCTTCCTCTGTCTTTCTCTATCTCTGCCTCCTATTCTTCTGTCTTTCTATCTATCTGTCATGGCTAAGTAGCCTTCCCAAAAGTATTTTCCTTCTATTTTATTGTGTAAATATAGAGGTTTTGCATTGTGCAATTCCTTGAAAATAACATGTGGCAATTACAACATGAGATTTCATCAGCTGTTCATGTATTATAGTGATTACTTTGAAACTGTGACTGATATTTGAATCTTAGGGGAGAGAGGGCATTAAGAAACTCTCAGGAATGATTAGGTCTCCACCAGCTATTTTTTCAGTTTAAAATTGAGATTGTATTTCTTGCATCATTTCATCCATTATTTATTTTTTCTGACTAAAATAGATTATTGAAACTCAACACAGTGATAAATTTGATCTCTTCAAATGCCTTGAGTGTTTATATTAGGATGACATTCTTAATTGTCAAGGGGGTATATGAAGAAAGTCTTTGATATATCTAGCTCCACTGACAATTAGTAGAGCTGCATCATATAAGGATAGTTAATGATTCATAGAGTGCTTACTGTGTGCCAGTTGCCCTTCTAGGGACTTTGCATAACTGAAGTCCTTTAATTCTCAAAATAATCCTATGAATGGAGTCCTGTGTTTATCTTCGTTTCATAATGTGGAAATGGAGGCATGGAAGCACAGGGGAACATGCCCAAGGTCACACAACAAGGAGGGGTGGTGTTGGGACATGAACCCATGTAGTCTGGCTTTAGGCTCTGTGCCTTTACTACACACACTGACTGTTTTTATAGATAAGCACTCTTCCATGTGATTTTAAAAAATCATTCTAAGGGTATATTCCTTTTCTATTGCTTTGTAACAAGTTATCACTATTTTAGAATCTTGAAACAACATGCTTTTATTATTTCACAGTTTCCATGGGTCAGGAGTCTAGGCTTGGCCTAACTGGGTCCTCAGGTCATGGTCTCACAAAGCTGCCGTCAAGGGATCAGCTGGGACTAGGGTCTCATGTGAGTTTCAAAGTCTTCTTCCAAGCACACATGCTTAATGGCAAAATTCATTTCCTTGCAGCTGCAGAACCAATGGCAGCCTGTTCTTTCAGTGCCAGCAGGAGAATCTCTTTCTGACTCAGTGAAATCCAAACCCTCTTTAAAAAGGCTTCCAGCTAATTAAGTCAGATCCAGCAAGTATAATCTTCCTTTTTGATGAACTTTTCAACTGATTTGAGGCCTTAATTATATTTGCCAAATCCCTTCACTTTCACCTATAATGTAACCTAATTATGGATGAAACACCCGGGCAGAGATCATGGGGCTGTCTTAGAATTCTTCCCAGACAATAGCGCAATGGGTATGTCTGATCCCTTCCTTCATGAGTGAGGGAGATGGCTAAATACTGATGGTTTCATTAGAATTTGACTCATTAATCTCAGCTTATAAAAAAATCTGGAATTTGTTTTTCAATGTTTTATACATAAAAATTTCCTTCTTTAACTTTTTTCTAGAATTCTTTATACAAGGTTGATAGCATAAATAAATTCGGAATTTTTTTGAAAATTATCTTGTAAATTTACTCTGCTGATTAGTTTCCTGAGACATTTCTTAAAACCACCTTGTCACTTTTGTCCTTTGATCACCTGTTGGGTAAAAATCAAATTCCTTAGTGTGTGACAAACCAAATCTCTTATGTACTCACCACATGTACCATGTTGTCTTAGCTGCTTGCTACTGACTTCTCCTCCAGCGTTTTACGCTAAAAAGTGGAAAGGAAGAAGGGAAGGAAGGGAAAAAGGCAGAGAGATGGTTACTGGATTAAGTTTGAATCCCTCCGGAAGTTTCAAGCAGGCCCCAGGCCCTAAGAATTCATTGATCAGTAACCCGTAATCTGCAGTCTTAGCTGGTCTGAGATAATATTCCATTTCTTGGAGGTTAAAGGTTATTTTAACCCTGGGAAGGTATAATAACTAGAGAAACATGAATAAATGAATTACTTTAAATATGAGAAACAAAGGTATAATAATAAATGCTTTCAACCTGTGTATTCTACTATTTCTGTTATTCCATCCTCTGCTTCTAATGTACATTATTATTTACTTATTTATTTAGCATATTGCTTAGTATCTGCCTCCCTTCTTCCCACTCTTTCCCATCCTGTCAAGTATAAGGGCAAGGGTCATGATCTATTTTGATTACTGAGGTATTCAAGCATCCAGGACAAGTTATTGAATAAATACATAAATAATTGTGGTCTGTTCTTAGGATTTTTGAATCATTTAAGAAAAGTTAACATATTGGATTTGTAATTATATTGAGACTTTAAGGATCATTGTTTTGATTTGGTTTCGTTTTTGGGTTTTTTTGCTGTTTGAGCCTAACACAGATTGGAGGACATTTCCAAAGAGGTGGGTGTAAGGGGAGAATGGCTCTGTGTGTGTGCATGTGTATGCACGTGTGCATGCATGTGTGTGCGCATTTCTACATGCTGTATCGTGGCTAAGTCAGCAGACAGGATTGTCTGTCAGTATAGGCCTTCTGAGGGTGTAAACCCTCTAAGGAATAAATGCATCTGGAGAAATTCTACTTCCTGCAGTTTTAACTCAAATTGGTTTCAAGAGGGACACAGAGATCTTCCCTCTGGAGAGTAGGTGCAGGCATTATTACCCGCTCCCCCTTTAATTTTTCTGAGGAAACTGAGAATTAGAAAAATTAGGTGCAAGAGGGATAATATTTTTGGAATTTCTCCAGATACATCTTGCTTTGTGGGTGAACTAGATTTCTGTCTTTGCACCTTGTCCACCATGATTGCTTTAGGAGACTATAAATGTCACCTCAGAAAGGATATGAAAAGAGGATATGTAGAGGATATAAAAAAGAGGTCCCTTACAGGTGTTAGAAAGAAGTGGGATGTTTATCCTTCTGTGCCAGTGGACTGCAAAAAAGGAGACAGAAAAGAGAATTGGAGAGGCAGGTTTTTAGTATATGCATCCCGCTAAGAAAAGTCCAGAGAAGAGTCCAATTTTTCCCCATCACTGTTTGGAGCACTTGGGGAAAAAAGACCGTATTGGAAGACTCTTTGTTAATGTGTGAGGTGAGATAGTAGTGACAGTCTTGATCCTATGGGTTCTGAAAAGTTCTTTGAGCCTTGACAAGCAGACGTATTGGTGTTAAGAAGCCCAGGGAATTGGCAGAGGCCTGAAGATGCACAGAGGCTGTAGAGAAGGAAGGCACAACCAGGGGCAAATGGTCAGAACCAGAGGGTGTGCCAGAAAAATGTTCCAAAGACCCATGTGGACTGAGTGACACATCAGCTGGGAGGGGACCAGGCCATGCACGGAGGATCCAGAGGGCTCTGACATGCCTTTCCCTTGCTACCACACGATTATATCAGCCCCAGCCTCTGGGGAGAGAGAGCAAGCTGGGAAGATCCAGCATTGGGAAGAGAGGAATCTGGGAAGATCCAGAGGAAGCTTGGAAGATCCTGAGGAAGCTTGGAAGATCCTCTGGGGAGAGAGAGGAAGCTGGGAAGATGCAAAAGTAAATGCATCATGGGGGAGCCCATTTAAAAGACAAGAGACTTTAGTACTGAATATTGACAAGTATAAAAGAGTGCTGTCCATGCATTGGTACCCAGTGAGGTAGATGTTTATGAGGAAGAGTAGATCTATGACAGAAAACAGAGAAGCTGCATTTTCTTCAAATATTTGAAGTAGTATTTGAAGTTTTTATCCCTACTACCCCAGGTGCATACCCAAGCCCACTCAGGTGTGAGGGGGCATGGCTTCAACTGCAATCCAGATCCCTAGGGCAGGGCTTTATCCAGTATACCCAAGTGTCCTGTTTTTGAATGTCAGCAAAGCTTACAAACTGTTGCCACATACAAACCAACATAGCCTCGGATAGTGGCCAAATTAATACGGATTCTTTTTTTTTTTTTTTTGGAGACGGAGTCTCACTCTCACCCAGGCTGGAGTGCAGTGGGGCGATCTCGGTTCACTGCAAGCTCCGCCTCCCAGGTTCACGTCATTCTCCTGCCTCAGCCTCCCGGGTAGCTAGGACTACAGACACCCGCTACCATGCCCGGCTAATTTTTTTAGTAGAGACGGGGTTTTGCCGTGTTAGCCAAGATGGTCTCGATCTCCTGACCTCGTGATCCACCCGCCTTGGCCTCCCAAAGTGCTGGGATTACAGGCGTGAGCCACCACGCCCGGCCTAATACGGATTCTGTAAGCTTTAGCGCAAGGGAGGCATTGAAGCTTGGGAAAGGAGGAAATCCATCTGACCTGAGTTCAGGAAGGGAAGGTGATGAGGGACCCTTGAGGGACACATGGGAGATGAGAAGATGTGCTCTTTCTCAGTGTCACTTCTAGTGTGGACTCATGGAGGTTAATCAGGTGCTCAATGCAAAAAAAAAAAAAAAGGGGGGAATATGATTAGCTTCTATGAACTATGAACTCAGGTTGAGTAGGTTCTAGGTAGGCTTTTCCTCTGGGACTCACTCAACTCCATTTGTGTTCCCAAAGGTATCACAACAATAAGAACAGCCTGGATAGGAAGATTCAAAAGATGGTTTTCATATACCCGTTAAACACAACTGGGGCTCCACCTCACCCATTTCTAAAGAGGAAAATGAAATCTGACAATAAAAGACTGATTAAAAAGCTAGAGGTGAGGAAGTAGAAATGAAATAATGAGATATTTTAGTCAGAAATGGACTCTAGCAATTTTAAGATAACAGAACATTTATGTAATGCAATTATATCTAGTACTATTATTAAAAAGTAAAAGAAACATTGCAATTATCTCAAGTATTTTAGAAGTGTAAAGCAACATACTAAATAACACACGCTCTTAGTCCTTATATCTAGAATAAATATAGAGTATTTTGACTAAATTGTCAAGATGATTATCTCAGTTCTCCAGTTTACTTTTACCTACTTAGAGAGACTTGAACGCAGCACATGACAGCATGTGGCTCACTGATACTTTCTGCTGCACAAATGCAGCATCAGTCCTGATTATCCTCAAACCCAGGAAGGCTCCTTTGGATATAGTAATATCATGTTAATTCCAAAAAAGATGCAGTTTCCCTCAAAAGTCCTCATCTATGAAATGAGCTCCAGAGACTTTTAAGCAAGGGAGCAGGCGGGAAATGATATCCTTGTAATGGGTAAGGTGCCATCTCATGCAGAGAATAGAGATAGACCAGTTGGGTCTATGTCTAAGATTAAAATCTCCTGCCCATCCAAGTTGCTTCTACTTTGGAAAACTGTTGGCAGAATTAAAATAATTTTTAAATCATTAAAATAAGTAATCCACCCCCTTTTCCATGTATGCACCCTATCAAAGATTTTTAAAAGGGTAAGGGGCTTACGTGGGGAAGAACATAGAAATGTAAAAGGTGGGAGTTGAGGGGAGGGTGGTGAGAGGAATAGGAGAAATTTAAATTATCTGACTCTGAGAGCCAAATACTATTTATGGGGAGAGTCCATTGACACAACATCAACAGAATGTGCAGTTTGATTTCGAGTTCTCCAGGGCAGTGCTGGGTGTGTGCTATGCACGTGTGTGCTCTCTCGCCACTCCCCCCATGACCTACCATGTGCATTTGCCGGTTTAGGAGGAGGGCTTGGCCCTGTTTTAGAGAGAGGTTCACTGACTCACGCACAATTTGAACTCAAGACCTTGGTCTCATTGATTCTAGACCAGCTCACCCCTGTTTTGCTAGATAAAGATTGCATTAACCAGGTAATATTTTTCTCAAACATTACCGGGAGAGGAAACATCAAATTTAACACTGCCAACTTATTTCAATGTTTAACCTAAATCAATAATATAATTAACACATGTAAATAAATTACATTTTTGAGAACATGGTTGAGGATTTTTAAAAGATAGCTTTTCCATCCTAACCTTTTCCTATCCTCATTTGCAGGTAGCTTATTTGTCTGTGGCCCTCAGTGCATGCTGTGAACTGCTTTCCCTCCTGGTATGTTTCAGTAGCAGAATATTAAACCTTTGTTTTTAGGTCTGTGTTCTGGTTCAGGTTAGGGTTTGAGTTCATTTTTTGAAATAGCCACCTAGAGATTTCAAACCATGAAATCAGAGAATCTCACGAGCAAGTGGACATTGTTTGCCCTACTTCTTAATGTCTTATGCCCTCTGGTGGTAAAATCAGGTGACCTCCTATATTTTTCTTTGAATTCTCCAAAGCAAAATATTTCATTAAAATAAAACAAGACGGGTCTCTCCCTTTCTCTGCCATTGTGGTGTATGCGGTTGACTCCATTCCTCACTATGTCTGCTCGCAAGGTTTTCAGTATCAAGCGATTTCTGGCCAAGAAACAAAAGCAAAATCATCCCATTCCCTAGTGGAATCAGATGAAAACTGGTAATAAGAGCACCTACGACTCCAAGAGGAGACATTGGAGAAGACTCAGCTGGGTCTGTAAGGACTTGCACATGAGATGGCACTCAGATTCATGCTGTACTGGGGTCACTGGCATCTTACCATATCAACTTGGAAACGTTGCCACTATCTGTACTGTGGGACATGTTTTAATGAAAAAATGTTTTATCTTTGTTTCTGTGCCCTGCACTAGGTTGGTTCAGTAACAAGTATGTGAGGACTTTTGTTTGAAAAAAAAGTTAAGACAGCATTCATCATGATTAGCAAGTTATTGAAAATGTATATATACACACACATATGTATACATTATATGTGTGTTTGTATGTATGTGCAAGTATATATGTGTGTGTATGTGTGTGCTCTGGTTTGACACTAGGAGTGTGAGGTAACTATTGAGTAGTGATGAGTCTTGTGGTCTATAAAATAGGCCTATCCTTTATAGAGTAAGGATGCCAGGCCTTTATACCTAGGCTTTTTGAATAGAAATGAAGTTCTCTAAATCTGTTGCCTAGAAAAACATATATCTGTACATAAAATTCGACTCTAAGATGCTCAAATTCACTGAGGTAAAATTATAACTAGGATTAATTTATAAAAAAATTACTTCATTACCCAGGTCATATCCTCTGAAAATATGAACAATAGCAGAAAAAAATAAAACAATGGGTCAGAGCAAAGGAACATATTGATCTGGGGGAGAATTTATGGAATAAATATGTTTTTCCATGTGTATTTTTTAAGAAAGTATTTAACTTTTTTTTTTAAGAGACAAGGCCTTGTTCCGTGGCCTAGTCTGGAGTGCGTTAGTGCAATCACAGCTCACTGCAGTCTGAAACTCCTGGGCTCAAGCAATCCACCCATCTCAGCCTTCTCAAATCTGGGACTTACAGGTGTGCACCACGATGCCTGGTTAGTTTTTTATTTTTATTTCTATAGAGATAGGGTCTCACTATGTTGTCCAGGCTGGTCTTGAACTCCTGGCCTCAAGCTATTCTCCATCCTCTGACCTTAGCCTCCCAAAATGCTGAGATTACAGGCATGAGTCACTGCATGTGGCCAACATTTTTATTTTGAGAAGAAAATATATTTTGAGAGGGTGTTAAGTCATCTCTTTTAAAATGAAGTTTTGTAATCATAGGTAGAAATGTTTTTAAATACCTTTTCTTTCTTTTTAATATTTTTATTACCTTTTTATTTTGAAATAATTTCAGACTAAAAAAAGTTGCCAGTACACAGAACTCCCATATACCTTTTACCAAACTTCTCCCAGTGTTAATATTTTACTTTACCACAGTATAATTTTCAAAATCAAGAAACTAACATTGATATTATGCTATTAACTAACCCCAGACCTTATTCAACATTTGCCAATTATCACATTAATGCCTATTTTATAGCCAAGATCCAGATTATGATTAAGGTAATAATGATTAAATTCAGCTTATACATATTTAGTAAGACTACCACAGAAGCGATATTGTGGGCTTCTCAGTACATATATCATGGGTCCTTTTTGTTGAATACTTCTTATTATTGGTGATGTTAGCCTTCAACACTTGGTTAAGGTAGTGTCTGCCAGACTGCTCCACTGTAAAGGAACTGTTTTTACTTTTGTATTTAATAAGGACTTCGTAGAGAGAGACTTTAGGACTATGTAAATATCCTGTTTCTTATATATTGCCCCACTCATCGCCAACTAGTGATTTTTTTTACTTTAATAATTTATTTGACACTCGTTAATTATAATTCTACTGTAAAGAAGAGCTTTCCCTTCTCTCCCATTTGCTAGTTATTTCATTATTGAAGTATATCAGTATGCAGTCATGAATACTTATTTTATTCTATATGCTATACTCCATTATTACCATAATTTACTTTGTTCTTCAAATTGGCTCACAATTGACCACTGGGGGCCCCTTCAAGTTGGCTTCTGTGTCCTTTCAACATGTGTCCACCATTTTGTTCTTACTGCTTCTTTTCTTTCTGGCACAAGATGTTCCAGGATAATCTTACACAGTACTTTCCCTGCCCCAGCCATGAGCTCAGTCATTTCTCAAGGATCCTTGGTTTCTTTTATTAAATAATGTCATCTAGAAAGCAAGATCTAGGTGCTCTTTGTGTTCATTGCTACTGGTGTCATTACTTTTAGGCCCTCTCATCAGACAAAGCTAGATAAAAATCTGTTTATAATAAACATGTGTACATACACATAATCTAAGTCTCTATCTCTGTATCATCTATTATCTATCTATCATTTATCTATCACCACGAGTTCATACATTTGATTCCTATTTATATCTATCTATCTATCTTATCTATTATCTATTATCTATCATCTATCTATCACCATCAGTTCATACCAATACATTTGATTTCAGTCCAGTATTACAGTGTTAATTCTAGCCTTCCTCCTTTCCTTACTAGTAACTCATTTCTCTAAAAGTAAGAAATCTCCCTCTTGTTATCCAAATATTATTTACTTATTTGCACAATCCTAAAATAAACATTAACTGGGTTTATAATTACTAACCAATGCCTCTTTGGGGCTGGGGAGCTTGCAAACTAATGTAAAATGTTTGTGTACATTCCTGTTGGTCTTTGGTCTTAGAGTATATAATATGTACATTGTATTAATAATACATGTATATAATAATACATTGGATTTCAAAGTTGTCTTCAGTTCATTCTTTTCTTCCTCATCCCCTTCAGTGTGGTTTGTAATTGAGTTAGGCTCATTTGTTATTGTTTGTATTGAATTTTGGGTTCTCCCTTCACCCTGCTTGATTTTAGTCATTTATTTATATTTTTGGTAATGAAACATTACCATGGTTTCTAAAAGTCAGAACTGTAGAAAGAGTTATACTCAGAGAAGTGTTCCTTTCCCACCCCCATCATCCCCTGCACCCCAACTCCTTCCTGTTATCCCTGTATATAAGCAATCTTAGTTCCTGGGTTAACCTTTTTGTGGTTTTCTTTCTTTTTCTTTTTCTTTTTTTTTTGGTCTCTCTTTCATAGAAGTTGACACATAATAGATATTCTTTTGCACTTTGTCTTTTTTCTTTTTCACTTAAGAAAAACCTATTTGGATTGTGTTCTGAAAAACAATCCAAATAGGTTCACAGGAATCCTTTTCTATTTTATTTTCTCTTAGAGCCTGTAGAGGTACACAATTTGTTTAACTACTCTCTTGTGTTCAGATATTTACATTGTTTCCAATATTTTGCAATAACAACAATGTCACAATTAATAACCCTGTGCAAATATATTTTTGCCTTATCGGAGGTGTATCTTCTGGGTAAATTCCTAGAAGTGGAATTGCTGAATTAAAAAATAAGTGTATGTGTAGTTTCTTAGGCATTACCAAATTTCCCTCTATAAAGCTTGTACCACTTGACATTGTCACCAGCAATGTGTGAGGGTATCTCTTTCCCTACAGATGACTGCCATATTTTTAATTTTTTTGCCAATCTGATAAGTGAAAAATAATATTCCTATAAAGTTTTAATTTGTATTTCACTAGTTATGAATGATATTAAACATTTTTTGCTATCTTACAAGGTTTTTTATATATCTTTTTGTGAATTATCTACTCTTGTTTCTTTATCTAGTTCAATATTTTTTTAAAATCCCTTCTCTTTCAATTTTAGGAGTTTTTAATATATTAGCAGAATATATACTTTATTATAGAAAGATTAATGTTGCAAGCATTTTTTTAAAGTTTGTTTGTTGTTTGACTTTGTTTATGGTGTTTTTGCCATGCATTAAAATTTTTATTTTTATGTGGCCACTCGTCAATCTTTTTTTTTTAATTGCCTCTGGATTTTGAGTCATGGTTAGAAAATCTTTCCCTATACCAACGTTAAATAGAAATTCACCCATGTTTTCTTCTGCTATTTAAAAAAAAATTTTTTTTTACATTTATATTATATCTCTTTTTCATTGGGTCTTTATGCTTGTATATGGTGTGAGATATGGATCTAAACTTATTTCATTCCCAATACCTATCCAGTTGTCCCAGAACCATCTATTAAAATTTTCTTGCCCCAGCAATTTTGTGATGTCACTTATCATATACTAAATTTCCATATGTACTTGAGTCAATTTCTGGGCTTTCTAATTTATTCTATCAGTTCGTTTGCCTAGTCATGCACCTGCATCCTACACTCTTAATTATGAAGACTTTATAGTATGTTTTAATGTGTGATAGGGCTAGTTCTTCCTTCTAGTTTTTCTTTTTAAGTGTTTTCTTGGCTCTTCTTCAGTGTTTTATGTCTTTCAGAAATGCTTTCCTCATACAGTTTTTGCACATTTCCTTTTAAGTTTATTTAAGTGTTTCATGTTCTTTGTTGTTATTATAAATGAGGGTTTTTCTGTTATTACATCTCCTAAATAATCATTGTTTATGTATATAAAATAGTAAGTTATCTATGTAATGTTTTTATCCTGCTATTTTATATTATAATAACTTATCTTATTGTTTTAGTTAATGCCTTTTCTTAACTTGAACCAGAAATACATTTTTATTGTGTTAAGCCTCTGAGATTTGATTTATTTCTTATAGTAGTTAGCTGAGTCTGACAAATAAAAGATAGAAATAACTTTATTACCATCATAAAGTAAAGATATTAAGAGCAGAAATATTGACAAGTTTGCCTAAGGTCATAGAATGAGCAATGGACAACACTGGTTTTTAAATCAATATCCTATGTTATTAACCACTGCATATTACCCTCTCCTCAAGGTGTGAGTTCCTGAGCTTTTCTGCTAGCTTCCATTTGAAAGAGAGAAGCCAAGTTCATTCTCCATCCTTCTTTGTCTACTTGCAGTTCTGTTACTCATTGTAGGGAAATGAGTGGGAGCAGAAGGCAGACTGCTAGATGAATAATAGCATGGAGGGACACACAGCTACATAGATTTAAGAGGGTGTGAACTCATTGTACTTTATAGGTGTAGAAAACTATACAAGATTTTGTAGTTATAAAAATAACAAAATCTCAGCTCTGATTCACCATTCAATTTGTTCTCACTATACAACAAGTATGATCTTTTAAGAATGAAACTAGTTAGATGGCATTCTCTTTGTTTAAATCTTTCAATGGATTCACATTTGTATCAGAATAAAGACAAAACTCATTCACATGGCCTCTGCTTTACTATCCAGGCTCAGCTCCATGCCTTGTACTAATTGCTATCATACGGTATTTTGATCACTTACTTACTGCCCTGTCTTGTAAACTCTTCAGGACAGAGACTTTTTAAATTTTGGATTCCAGATTCTGGTACCATGCCTAACACATAGTAGGCACTAAATATATGTTCGTTGAGTGAGTGAAGGAGTTAATGAATAAATATTGTTTTCCTACCTTTTTTGATTTCATGGAATATGCTTATCTCTTCTTTAGAATATTTTCTTCTTCCCTGCATGAGGAATGAGCTTTCTGTATCCTTAAGATTGCCACCATCATCAGCTGTGAGCTGTCATGAACTTTTCAAACTCTGAAGAGAAATGTCAAATGAGTGATCTGAGATTCTTGTTTTAAAGAAAATAATCAGCTGATATATTTCTTCCTACCACTTATATTTTCTACTCTTTATGGAAATGATTTTGCATTTGTTGGGATAAATAATCCTCAGTCTTTTGTAAAAGGCAAACTGAAAGTTTTATTTGAATATCTCACCCTGCCATTTCTTTTCTTTTCTTTTTTTTTTTTTTTGGAGACCGAGTCTCACTCTGTCACCCAGGCTGGAGTGCAGTGGCGCAATCTTGGCTCACTGCAACCTCTGCCTCCCAGGTTCAAGTGATTCTCCTGACTCAGCCTTCCGAATAGCTGGGAATACAGGCACATGACACCATGCCTGGCTAATTTTTTGTATTTTTAGGAGAGACAGGGTTTCACCATGTTATTCAGGATGGTCTCGATCTCCTGACCTCGTAATCTGCCCGCCTCGGCCTCCCAAAGTTCTAAGATTACAGGCGTGAGCCACAGTGCGCGGCCCTTTTTTTTTTTTTTTTTTTTGAAATGGAGTCTCACTCTGTCACCAGGCTGGAGTGCAGTGGCACAATCTCAGCTCACTGCAGCCTCCGCTTCCTGGGTTCAAGCGATTCTCCTGCCTCAGCCTCCTGAGTAGCTGGGACTATAGGCACGCGCCACCATGCCCAGCTAGTTTTTGTATTTTTTGTAGAGACAGGGTTTCACCATGTTGGCCAGGATGGTCTCGATCTCTTGACCTCATGATCTCCCACCTTGGCCTCCCAAAGTGCTGGGATTACAGACGTGAGCCACCACTCTCAGCCCACCCTGCCATTTCTAAAAGGCACTTTCTCTCAAAAGCCTGGTCCAACCCTGGCAATAAAGATTTTCTAAGTATCACATGTAGTCTCTAAACTAGTTTTCTTGACATTTGATAGTAATAAAAGTAATTGTTTATTGAGCTTCATCTGTGTATTAAGACACTCTTGTAAGCATATTATATACAATTTATGAAACATATTAGTTTCACCACTTTCTGGATGAGGAAACTGAGGCATAAAGAGGTTAGGTAACTTGCCTAAGTTTCTTTAAACACAGCCAATAATAAAATGAACTGAGATTGGAATTCAGGGAAGCCAATTCCAGGGTCCATACTTTAAATCTGCGGTGGATCACTTTCATCACTTATGATGCTTCATCTTACTGCACCTCCTAGAACATGTAATGTTGTTTGTGTGCTTCACGTACATCTATTTCATCATCCAGATAAGATCCCTAGATGTTCTTTTTGGAGGAGTGTCTTATTTCTTCAGCCTTACAATGTTTAGAATAGCGGCAGACATGTTGTGTGTCCATTTCATACACAATTGCTAAATTGCTTTGAAAGCTGTATTTAAATTCTCCCCCTAGTTTTAGGTAATTGTATATAGGGGTTTTACCAAGTTAGGATAAAGCAGCATATTTAAAAAATCTCCGTATTTGTTTACTCAAGAAATAAGTGTAGGATTGTGATTATAATAGATGTAATAGGAACTCAGGAGGGGTAGGAGATCCCCACAACATCATCCACCTACTGTCCTTCCTTTCTGTACCTCCATATGGATGTAACGATGCGTTGACGGATATGAATGAAACTGGGCATTCTGTGACTTATTGATTTGAACCAACACTGGTTAATAAAGCATTCATTTAACTCATTCTCTGTTATAGCTCCCTCTACTGAGGGCCATGGCTCTTCTCTGAAGGAGGGGCAGGAAGCTTGTTGTCACTGTATGAAGGTGCAACTGAGTTCTTTAGCCAAAGGACAACCCCAATTCAACCTGTGTACAACAACTCTCCTGTGATGATGACTGCCTTCCTCTACTGACATGCCTCCCAATGCTTGGAAGGTTAAATTATTCCCCATGCCACAATGAGTGGGGTTTTGGGGGGAACATGATGGTACTAACCATCAACCTTAAGAAAATAATAACTTGTTATTACTGAGACCCTCTGCCCTTTATGCAAATAAACCACAGCAGGCTACCATTTAGACATACTTGTACATGTCTAAATTTACTAAACGTATGTTTAAGAAATATATGTGGAAAGTTACAATTCTGTTATTTTCCCAAACCTATGTTCAACTCAGAAAGAGTTTGCAAAAAGAAAAATAAAAGGAAAGTCAAAAGAAAAGTAACTGAATATATTAAATTTCTTTATCAAGCCTCCATACTATAAGACTATGTCTTCTTAGAACTTTGTTACATTATCTTTTTTATTAATAAGTGCCTTTTGTTCTAATCATTTTAGGTCATAAAAATAATATATGTTCATGGTAGAACTATTGGAAAATCAGAAATATATTTTTAAGTGTTTAATAATTCATGATCTCTTCACTGGAAGATATTCATTGTTAGCATTTTGGTATATTTCTTTTATCTAGATAGATTGATGAGAAATAGATTGAAAGATAGAGATGGAACTGTTTTTGATATGCACATATACATATAGTTTATTTCCACTGCCTGAGCTTTATCTCATGAACATTTTTCAGATCACTTAAGATTCCTCAATGACCTTTTATAAATGGTTTAAGATGTGTATTTTATAACTATATAGTGTTCTATTTAATGATCTGACAGAGTTAGATATTTTGATGCTTTCACTGAGATGAATGCCAGATTGCTCTTCTAAATCCTGTCCGAGTGAAAGAAGAAAGTACATCATGAACTGCGTAAAAAACAGAGGGTGATTTTCTAAAGAAACAGAGGAACTTTCATCTGCCCAATGAAATTCAGAAATTAAAAAATAAAGAAAAAGAAATTCTTTTCTGTAAAAAGCCCCAGAACCTTGATGCTTATCAGAGATTTATCAAAGTGATTCGAGCCTAATGGGGACCTGTTTGTGTCTGAAATCCCTCAGCACTGCACAAGGACAGGAAAGTGACAAGAGGACATATTTCTCAGATTTTCGGCTACTTCATTTTCTTAAGTCAAGCTGCAAATATCACAAATATAATTTTGCATGCAGTATTTTGGCTGTTCATGGTGGTTATCAACTGGTGGGAGGACCAAAGGGAAAGAAAATGGGATACGAAATCAAGGGATGTTTTCTGAACCTTAAAGTTGGCACAGTGATATTATCTCTACTTTTGCAAACAATTTACCTTTCATTGTTACTGTGCAAAGTCAACACTTGCTTTGAGATATATTTACTCAAAGAAAAACAGTGTCTAATTTGGTAACCAAAATACCATAAACTGAAAGGAATTAGATTAGTCCTAAAAGGAACTAGACTGGGCTATGCAGCAAGAGAAATAGAGATTTTACTTCAGTATTCTGTACAATGGAGCATAAAAGGCTTTTATAGCATGTAAACATACATTAAAATAGTATACCTATCAAATTGAAAAGGATTAAAATGTTGCACGTGGGCAAGGATGTAGAGAATTGGAAGCTGTCACTGTTAGAAAAGGACAGAGCAGTTATATAATACCTTCCAAAACTAACAGTATATGTGTCCTCCAATGGCTCCTAGGTAAGCTTTGACCTATGTGGAGGAAACACGTGAGAGGGCTATGTTGCAACATTATTCGAGATAGAAAGATCTTTTAAACAACCCAAGATTCCACTAACAAGAAAATAGATTGATAAATTTTGGAATAATGATTCAGTGGAATACTATGTAGCAGTGAAAATAATGTGTATCAACATGGATAAACCTCAACAATTTAATGGTGAATTACCAAAGCCAGATATTAAAAGAAATGCAAAGTATGATACCATTCATATAACATCTAGGGACACAAAACAATACTCAATATTATTTGTAGGTGTCTATGGAGCATAAATACAGAAACATCACGGGAAGATAAACATCAAATTCAAAATGTGTTTACTCCTGGATACAGAGACAGAGAGAAAGAGAAAGAGAGAGAGAGGAAGAGAATTGGCTTGAAAGGTAGTACATAATTAGAGTCAACTTTAACCTTTCTTTCCTTGTGAAAAATCTGAAATAACTATGAGAAAATAACTAAGAGCAATAACATGTAACAAAGCTGGATGACAAGCATATGGACACTTATTATTTCATTCTAGATAATTTTCTCTATCCTTGAGCTATTTCATTTAAAACAAACTTTTCAAGGTCACAGAGCTAAGAGATGGCAGAATTTGTTTGGTTTTGTATTAGGAAGTCTTGTTTTTTGAACCTGTTTAAGAGACTTCCAGCTATTTAAAAGAGAGGAGTCATGTGAGGGCATAGTTGCAGTACGAAGTACTGACTGAGACCTCCCTGGTGCGGAGAAGCCAAAGAGCCTTGGCAAAAGTTCTGGGTTTAACATGGCCCATCTTGCGGGCTTTCCTTTGAAGATGCTTTGCCCATTGGATCAGCAGTCTTAGCTACTAAAACTTTCCCACAAGTGATCTTATTATCCTCATTCATTAAGGTGGCAAGAAACAAGATTTTCTCTAGCACTCACATGTGCATCGGGGGTCTGTCTGGATCTAGCCACAGTCGAGCATCCCCTGGTCTCCTGAGTGTGCCCTGTGAACTGCTCCCCCTCATCTCTACCTTCTTAGGTTCTGCCCATTTTCTAGAGCCAGCCACACCTCTCAACCCCACGGGGGCTTTCCCAGATGCTCCAACCCTATGCAGTCACTTCCTTTTCAGAACCATTATAGCAGCTCATCTGCCACTTAGCATGTGCCGTCTTTTATTTCAGATCTTCTTAAAACCTAATAATCAATACACTTTAAAGCTAGGAGCAGTTTTACAGAACACATAATCCAATTTCCTCTTTTTGCTAATGAGAAAATGGAAACCTAGAGATACTTGGTAAATAATAGGACCAAGTCTAGACTCCATCCCTCCTTTGCCATTATCTGGTATCATTTTACTGTGATATGTGTGTGTCCCGAGAGGATGTCAGGTTCTTTCTGGACAGCAACTTGTTTGAAACTATAGCATGTTCATATTGGATCTTTAATAGCCATATGCACATGGTGACATGGTGCTTCACCAAACCACATAGGGCAGGTGGAAGATAAATAATTTCTTGTGTAGAACAGAGTTTAAAGTTAAAAAAAAATTATTTATGTAGCGGTGGCTCATGCCTGTAATCCCAGCACTTTGAGAGGCCGAGGCGGGCGGATCACGAGGTCAGGAGTTTGAGACCAGCTTGGCCAACATAGGGAAACCCCATCTCTACTAAAAATACAAAAAATTAGCTGGGCATGGTGACAGGCACCTGTAATCCCAGCCATTGGGAGGCTGAGGCAGGAGAATCACTTGAAGTCAGGAGGCGGAGGTTGCAGTGAGCTGAGATCGCGCCACTGCACTCCAGCCCGGTCGACAGTGCGAGACTCCATCTCAAAAAAAAAAAAAGTATTAATGTATTTCAAACCCTTAGGTGTATAAAGTTTCCTTTAAAAAAGGATTAGAAAGCTTCTATTGGTCATATAAGATGTTCAGATGTTTCTATTTTTGTTACTACAAGCAAAACAAAGCTAATCGCTCTTAACTTTGTTCCCTTAATTCACTGCCAAAGGTGAGCTCAGAGAGGATTTATATGGACCAGTTCTGACCATTGTAGGTTAAAGACATTTCTTTGAATTTCAGCTGAGAAACATTCTCCCATGCAGCCCTTTTACCAGTTAAGTTGAATAAGCTTGACTTTGTAGATATTGTTTTTAGTTTCATTTCAGAAAAAAAGAACATTAAGAAGTCAATTTAATAAGCAAAATTATTTACGTGATTTAACTTAATTTGGCAATATGGCTGGGAAAATACAGAACAAAACAAAAGCAAATGTAAGAATACATACTTGGAACTGAACCAGTAGTGTTAGCAGTAATTATGCAATTAGTAGTTTTAATTACAATTAAAAAATCACCCTAAATTATCCAAGACCTATGATATGTGACATGGCACTCACCACCTTGAACAACTTCTCTGAATTCATTTTAAAACTGAGTACGGCGCCCATGGCATTTTCTTCCCAACTCATCCACCTGTGACCATGTTAAGAAGAAATTCCCTAGAATAGTTCAATCAAAGCTTACTGTGAACACTCTCACAACTTAATCAATGTTCTACATGTTCATTTCAAGGTTATTCTGAGATCTCAGGAAGGGTTTGTGAGCTTCCTGAAATAGAAGAAGTCTCAGAGGAATTCATCCCCCTGAGCTCAGTGGAGACATTCCAGCCATGCGGGTCTCCTTCCTCCTCTCCACCCCAGCCTTCCTCCTTCTTCTTCCTCCCTCACAGCAGAGATATGACAAACACCACCCACTTACAGTTGGTTCTCCTAATTCCACCCACAGGAGCTAAAAACCTAAAGAAAACACATTTATTTGTTTAAAAATGTAATTTACAAACAGCATTTTCATGAAAAATGTTCTCACCCTCGTTGTGCTAGTTCGTTGTATCTTTTTCTTCCAGGCTTATTCCTTCCCAAATGACTACAGTTTTTGCTGGCATTTCTCTGAAGGTATACTTGAGATCTCTTTAAGAGTCAGAAAAGCTACCTGAAATTGCAGGCAGCTTCCTGTTGGGCTCACGTTTTGCAGAATCCACGCTTGGTGTGCAGAAGGTGGGCAAGGTGTTTGAAAAAACAGGAAGCACCTGTGAATGTGTGAATTTATTTCTGGAAGCAGAAGGCTCCCTCTGAGATGGCTCTAGATGCTTCCTGCTGTTCCACCTATGAGCATTTTGCAAGGCCTTTCAGTACTTTGGGGCTATGAACAGGCTTCCGAATGGCAGGATTATTTGGAAAATCTGGGACACGGTGGGAATTCTGTTTTTTTAATGCAACTTTTCTGTTTTTTTCATGCAACTTTTTTCATGCAACTTTCTTTTTGGGGGATATTGGTTGATATGCGTGGAAATGAAGGTAGACTTTTAATTGCAATGGGGAAGTTAAAACCAAATGAGAATTAGAGATGTATGTAGCTTTATAAGTGATTTTGCTTTCATAAGATCATGTTTGTACTCATTGATTCCTTTACTCAGTAAACAGTATTGAGTGCAAGGCACTGAGATACTCCCTAGGAATCCACCGGAGACAAAACAGTGGTTGTGTGAAGTTTCAGTCCCCTGTTTCAGTCCCAAAATCACCTACAAGAAAGTGTTGTATTTCAAATTTGCATTTTTATATTTGCATGTGTCTGTATGATTTAGTGATGTGTTTAATTGAAATGCTACTGAAATAAGTCTCCTCCTCTGTATGAGGTACTCTAAACTACTGTTGGTGGCTGGCTATTCCAGCTTGGGCAGCCCCTGCCTGCCTTTTCAGGTCATGCATTTGGTGACATTAGTGGCTAATTAGGTTAATCCTGTTCCTTGACTGGAGAGACCACAGCTAATTGCTATCCTGTAAATACACTCTTGGCTGTAGATAAACTGGACTGCAACATGTGTCTGGATTCTTGAAGACCTATTACCAGTCTTTGAGGAAAAAGTGTCAACAGCTTCTGTTCTACAGTTTTCAGTAGCTTTATTTTCATATCTGAGCAAAATCTGGCACAGAGTAAAGAATACAGCTCCCTCCCTCTTTTATATGTGTGTGGCCTCAACAGGTCACGTTGCAGCCAGTTTGAAAATCTCCAAGTAAACAGTGCTGATTTGTTGGTAGACTACGCTGGAGAAAATGCAGAGGGGCTGGGGAGAAAGAAACCTGGGTCTAAAGTTTAGCTCTGCCACTTACTAGCTATGTGAACTTGGGCAAGTCATTTAGCATTTCTCCAAGACCACCTTTTTTTCATGTGAATGGAAATAATTCTCATACTTACCCAAGCAAGTATCATGAGGACAAATTATATAAAGTTTATAGAACATTATATAATATACATCCCCAGGTTCTAGAGATGGATTAGGGTTTGAGCCAAGAGGCATGGGTTTGATCTTGGAAAGGTCATCCTGGCCCTCTGTGCCCAAGACACCTCTAGCATAAAGATTGAACATGTCCTGTATTGGGCTCCTACGGATTTACTGAGCACCCATATATGGTAGTCACTGAGCCAGAGACTATTGACACAGATAGAAGTGTCGGGTTCCTGTCCTCAACACAAATGAGGTTCCTCTATTTTATATCCGTTATTGGAAAAGGAGAGGGAAGATTTTCTAAGGTTAGAATGAAATCCTAAAGTAATTAACTGACTGCCAATCATTGTTAAAGGGCACTTTCCATATTGTGTTATCAAGAGCACTGGCAGGCACGGGCAGACCAAGGCCTTGACTGGCTCTTCCACTTCTTAGATGGGTGACTTGGGGCAAGATACTTCGTTTTGTTAAATCTCAGTGTTTTTTGCAAAATGTGGGCAATAGGAGCACGTTCCTCACTTGGTTCTTGAGAAAATTAATTGAATTAATAGGAGAGAAAGAGAAAGAGGGAAAGAGAGAGAGAGAGAGAGAGAGATTTTCTGTCTCCAACATATGCAAATTCTATTTGCATATGTTGATACATTAGTCTGTTTTCCCACTGCTATAAACACCCAAGACTGGGTAATTTAAAAGGAAAGAGGTTTAATTGACTCACAGTTCCACATGGCTGGGGAGGACTCAGTAAATCTACAATCATGGTGGAAGGAGAAGGGGAAGCAAGCACCTTCTTCACAAGGCAGCAGGAAAGAGAGAGAGAGAGTGAAGGGGGAAGAGTCCCTTATAAAACCATTAGATCTTGTGAGAACTCACTCACTATCAGGAGAACAGCATGGGGAAACCGCCCCCATGATCCAGTCATCTCCCACTAAGTCCCTCCCCGACATGTGTCAGTCAGTATATTAGGCATTGGAGATACAAAGACAAAAGAAAATTCTGGACTTCAGTTGAATTACAAAGGAAAGCATGAATAAGCAAATTGATTAGTACATGATGAATGTTATAAGGAAAGCCTGGAAAAGGTCTCAAGAACAAGAGGAGAAATTTTACTATTCTACCTGGAGGAGGTAAAGTGTTAAGAATTTATGATTAAAGGTGTTCCTAAAGGTGGACCTCAGAGGCCAAAAAAAAAAAAAAAAAAAAAAAAAATAGGGTAATCAAGCTGTCCTCTTATCTATTATCCCATGGGAAACACTGACCAAACAGGAGGGATTTCAGGACATCATTTCCTAGTCAATGACATCTGGGATTTTCTCAAGTTACTCAGCAACAGACAAGTGGTTGAGATGAAACAGGCATGCTTGGGTTTGGAGAACCTCATGCTTTATAAACTATGAGCCAAACTATTTTTCTGATTTCTCTTGGTTTCAGGTTTCTCATATATAAAGTGAAGACAGTGGTGCCATACTTTCAGGTTATTGTGGGATAGAAGATAATATGCCTGACACACAGTAGGCACCCAGTATGTGTTAATGAATGTTTCATCTGTAAGATAAAAGTTGTCTTGTCAGAGAATATAAAGGGTTTTCTAAAATTTGTGTTTTATTAGTTTTTTAAAATTTGTTTTGCTTGTAAAGACAAATCTCTCACCAATGCATGTGATTTCACCTCCTCTTATCTCCTCTGGACTCTACTATGCAAACATTTCCTTTATTTTATTTTCAACCAGGCTTATGACTAGTAGGTAGTAGCACAGTGATCCTGCCTTTACTTCCCCTCCGCCATCTCATTCCCTTCACACTTCAAAATCAGTTGGGGGTTGTTAGGGGCTGAATTGTGTCCCACCTCCTGCCCTGCAAATTTATATGCTAAAGTCTGTGTTGGTCAGCGTTCTCCAGAGAAACAGAAGCAATAAGATATAGATTAAAATATAGATATATAAAAACAGCTTTATTATGAGGGCTTGGCTTGCGTGATTATGAAGGATAAGAAATCTCACCATTCTGCCATCTGCAAGCTGAAGGCCCAGAAAGCTAATGGTATAGTTCCAATTCAAGCCCACAGGCCAGAGAACCAGGACAGCCAATGGTGTAAGTTCCAATTTGAGTTCGAAGGCCCAGAAACTAGGAGCACTGATGTCCAAGGGCAGAAGATGGATGTCCCAGTGGCTTGGATGCCCAACCACACTGGGGAAAGTGGTTCTTCTTTGCTCAGTTTATGAATTCAAATGTTAATCTCTTCCAAAAATACCATCATGAACACAACCAGAAATAAATTTTCCAGCTACCTGGGCATCCCTTAGCTCAGCCAAGTTGACACATAAAATTAGCCATCACAAGTTTTTAACACCTGTGCCTCTGAATGTGACCTTATTTGGAAATAGGATCATCAGATATGTAATTATATTAAGGTCATACTGGAGTATGGAGGACTCCTAATCCAATATGACTGGTGTCCTTACATAGAGGGTAATGAGGATGCAGACACACATGCAGGAAGAATGCCATGGAAAGATAAAGGCAGTGACTGGAGTGATGTGTCTATAAGCCAAAGAATGTCAAGCTGGGCCAGGCCAAGGTAGCTCATGCCTGTAATCCCAGAACTTTGGGAGGCTGAGGCAGGAGGATCGCTTCCACCCATGAGTTTAAGACCAGTGAAGGGAATATAGTGAGATATCATCTGTACAAAAAAATTTAAAAATTAACCAAGCATGGTGGTGCACACCTGTAGTTCCAGCTACTCAGGAGGCTGAGGTGGGAGGATCACTTGAACCCAGAAGGCAGGGGTTGCAGTGAGCCGGATCATGCCACTGCACTCCTACTTGGGTGACAGAGAGAGATCCTGTCTCAAAAGAAAAAAAAAAAGAAGAATGACAAGATGGTCAGCAAATCATCAGAAGCTAGGAGCAAGGCATGGAACAGATTCTTATAGCCCTTAGAAGAAATGAAATCTGTTGACACCTTGATTTCAGATATCTGGATTCCAGAACTGAGAGAGGGTACATTTCTGTTGTTTGTGCCTCCAAGTTTGTGGCAGCCCTAGCAATTAATACAGGGCTCCAACAGAAGCTGGATGCATGGGGATCAGGGTCTTGAAAGACTAGTAATACTCAGGCATTGAGTTAGATCAATTAGGGGACCCAATTCTCCATCCCTCCCTGTATCCATACTTTTTGCCATGTAACTGTGCCACTCCTCCCACTCGAAGTAGTAACTTTCTCTGCCCCTTGACTTAGTGACTTGCTTTGGACCATGAAATGTGAGCAGACATGACATGGCATTGGTCCCGAGCCTAGTGATAAAGGCAGTGATTAGAGTGATATATCTATAAGCCAAAGAATGCCAAGCTGGGCCAGGCCATGGTAGCTCATTCTTGTAATCCCAGCACTTTGGGAGGCCAAGGCAGGAAGATCGCTTGAGCCCATGAGTTCAAGACCAACAAAGGCAATATAATGAGACATTGTCTCTACCAAAAAATTTAACTATTAGCTAAGTATGGTGGCACATGCCACCTTGAGAGGGCTTGTTTTTTCCTACTTTTCCTATTGCCATAGTCAACAGAAGACAGTGCTCCATTTTGCCTATTGGTCTCAGGAAGAGCATGAGGATCTCCTGGAGCAGAGTAACCTCAGCAAAGGTGTCTCCATTAACTTTCAATTTTGTGAAAAATAAATATTTACTTTTTAAAACCATTGAGATTTTGAGGTTTGTAATGCAGCAATCATTGACTAATTCAGCTGCTTTCATTTTCTCAGTTTCTTCTAGTCTAGTTTTGCCTATTGAATATTATATTTTATTATTAATTTTATTTCATGTTTACCAAGAAGGCATTACAAACTATTAATTATTAAAAGGCAGCATTGGGTCAGATAGAGATAAGAACTAATGTACTGAATGATCTCTTAGAGTTTCTGCCAATATCTATATATCTTGGGCTCTTAAATGTTGAATGCAATAAGAGCTTTAGCATCTTAAATTTTCAGTGTGGAAAGAAAGTTGGTTATTTGAAAAATTTTTGTAAAATACCCAAATGTGAACTCAATTGTGCTATTTAACTTCTCTAAACCTCAGTTTCCTCATTTATAACATGAAAATAATAATATTGACTTATAAGGATTCCTGTGGGTATAAAATTTATTATCATGTTAAGTGAGAATGATAGTAGATAAGCTGGGTCCAGTTTTCAAAGATGTCTTCAGGCTGCAATGGCAAGAAAGCTAATAAGATCGGTGGTGGAGACAAAGCTATGTGTCTCCCATAGCATTTCCTCTTTCTGGAAATTCATGGAAATCTACTGTTTTAGCTAATGAAATATGTAACCCAGAGTTGGCCTTTAAAATCAGAGCGACACTCCAGTCCTCACTTCCACAACTCCAAGTGACCCTTGGAGCCATGGGGACCTAATAGCTTGGCTATGAGATGGACAATGGTCTTCAGACTCTCATCCAATGGGGGGGTTGAGCAAATAAACTGTTACCATGGTTGAGTTTTGGGGGTTTGTTTGTTGGGGCAATGTTTTAGTCCCTTTGTACTGCTATAAAGGAATACCTGAGGCTGGGTAACTTATAAAGAAAAGAGGTTTGTTTGGATCACGGTTCTGCAGGTTGTACAAGAAGCATGGCACCAGCATCTGCTTTCTGGTGAGGGCTTCAGGCTGCTTCCACTTATGGCAGAAGGTGAAGGGGAGCCAGGGTGTGCAGAGGTCACATGGTGAAAGAACAAGAGAGAGATGGAAGGTGTCAAGCTCTTTTTAAAAACCAGCTCTCGGAGAACCCTCTTGGGAACTAATATAACAAGAACTCACTCATTAACAGGAGGAAGGCACAAAGCCATTCAGAAGACATCTGCCCCCATGGCCCAAACACCTCTCTTTAGGCTCCACCTCCAACATTAGAGATCAAATTTCAACATGAGGTTTGAAGAGCCAAATATCCAAACTATAGCAGGCAACACACATGGCTTTCTCTAACCAATACAAGATCTTAGACCATGATCATGGAAGACAGTTTCTGGTTAAGGGAAATGATAACTCCCTTCTACACTAAGCATTTAGATTACTGATTTTCTTCTAAGATCCACACCTTAAGAGAGACAATTTTGTTGAAGAAGAAAAAAAAAACAGTATGATGAAGGAAGGAAAGATCTGCAAATCGTGATATTATAAGACAATATTGAAAACTATAACACTCCACAAATATCCTGGAGAAAAAAATATTCGTGGAGCCATATAGTTGTCTTTAAATGGTTGAAGTTTGGGGTAGAAATTTTTTTCTATGTGGTTGCAGGTGTCAGCATTTAAGAAAACGAGCTAAATAGAGTAGGATTGATTTTAGTTTGACACACAGGGGAAATTCCATTCTCTCTCTGAAAATGGCAAGGACTACTTCTTGAGAGAATATGTACCTTATTACTGGATGTGTCAAGTAATATCTTGAGAGCCACTTATAGGGGATGTTATAAGAGGAATTTATATATTAGATAAAAGGTTGAATTAAGTGGCTTCTAAGTTTCCTTCAGCCTCAAAGAGTATGTTCTTAAGAACTATCACCTTGGATATTTCAGTTTTTAAAATTATACTTTTGCATACTTCAATTTGTTTAAATCAAGGCACACTTGTAATACAGGGCAATACGTATATACACTTGTTCACAGCAGGATCAATTTGGATTCAGGCTGACATTGTGCTCCTCTTCTGCAATCTAATTCAAATATAGACAGCGGTGAGCCGACAATGGAGCACCATGTGGAGTTTCAGCTCCTCTTGGGGAATGGAGGACATGCAACCAAACAGGTGGCTTCAATTAAGAGAGCAGCCGCTGCCAGGAAAAACCAGAGGGAAATCATCAAACCACCAAGGAAGCAACGACAGGTAGATGGGGTCAGTCCTGGAGACCCCTGGAGCATCGCCAGAGAACACAGCCCCACTAGGCCAGCACAACCAAGATTAATTGAAAAGAAAGTCAGTAAAGCATTGCATTCTATAGGTATATCTGTTGGTGATAAAGCTGACTTTCCTTTCAAAGCTGCAATGCAAAGTTAAAAAAAAGAAAAAAAGAAAAAAGAAAAATAGAGAGCATGAGACTGCTATTTAATGAGATGACAACAGAGATGTGCTTGAGATAATGACTTCCAAATTGTGAATGAGTCTGTAAAACCCTGAGCACAGCCCATCTGACTATGCTTAGAGTGTTCTCCATGTACTTTGGAGCTTTTCTGCCCCCATGCCTGCTGGAATACAAGGCTGATTCATTTGTTCGATTTATCCTTGAATACCTCCTCCCTATCTTTTCAGAGTGCAACAACAAAGGGCATGTTCTCTAAAAGCAAGGCCAGGAACAAACTCTTTTAAAAGCATTGAGAGTTGATTTTAATGGGAATGGAATGGTCAAGGAGAAAGACAAATGGGAACATATCTTTAGTTGGCAGCTGCTTTAATTTATTTCATATTAATGCAATCCGCTTCAAAGTCTCTGATCCCAGAAGCATTTCCAAGAATCATTTTTAATTAGGGCAGATTCTACACAACCAAAGCATAGGAGAAGGTGATACACTTAGGAGCTAATTCAGGCAACTCTCCCTGTCTCCTCTGAAGAATAAGAATTGAATAATTAAGAAGCCATGACTTGTCAAAAATGGTAGTCTAGATAAGTATCTTCTCTATTATTTTGATTAATATTTTAAAATGTCTGTGGAAACTGTGAGTAAAAGGCCTAGTCATCGTCCAAGTCAGATGACTCCTGACTTACTCAGAGCTGTAATTAAACCCCCTGCTGCTGCAGAGGCGACATGGGAAAGCTCTGCCACTGCTTGGTTAGCATCACCACAAAACCATGATGATCACTCTCATGTTCCCAAAAGGTCTCAAAGAAGGTATTTCCTCCATTCCTGTCACATTTTTGTTTCAGGAATTCAGATATTCAGGAAAATACCTTTGTAAAACTTGATTGGCAAGCACAGACATTTCGGTTCTAGGGTACAAGAATTTCTGATCACTTGTATTGGGATCAATAGAAGAAGTAGAAAATGAGGACTGATAACAAAAAATGTAAAAAAGCAAGAAAGTTGTTGAGGAGAATCAGAGTTTTATTGGGAGGTTCAAGAAGACAAAAATAAACTAATGTAAACTAAAAAATAAACTGAGTTGTCTATACCTTCTAGGAGGGTACAGGGAACACGAACTTTGATCTACAAGATATAGCCAAAATTAGAGGGACGCCCCTCTCTGCAGACCTTATGCAGCTCACAAATCCTAAAATATTTACTATCTGAACTTTTACAGAAAAATTTGGTTGATTCTTAATCCAGAAATAACCACCATTATTCTGGTGCCTCTTCTTCCCAATCCCTATTGAGCACTTGTGCAAATTTTTAAGAAAACAAAGTCTGTGATACTGCTGTTTATAGTTTTTATTGATATATAGTATTTGTGCATATTTATTAAAAATGTGATATTTTGTTAAATATATGGAATATGTAATGATTAAGTCAGGCTATTTAGAATATCTACCACCTTCTTTATCATTTCCATGTGTTGGAAACATTTCAAGTCTTCTCTTCTAGGTATTTTGAAATATACAGTACATGATTGTTAACTACAGTCACCCTACTCTGTTACTGAACATTAGAACTCATTCCTTCTATCTAACTGTGTGTTTGTGCCATTAGCCAGCCTCTCTTCATTCCTCCGCCTCCACATACACACCTCCCAACCTCTGGTATCTATCATTCTATTCTCTACCTCCCTGAGATAAACTTGTTTTTAGCTACCACATGTGAATGAGAGCCTATAATATTTGTCTTTCTGTGCCTGGCTTATTTCACTGAACATATTGTCCTGCACTACCATCCATGTTGCTGCAAGCGACATGATTTCATTCTTTTTATGGCTGAATAGTATTCCATCGTACATGTAATAGCACATTTTCTTTTCTTTATCCATTCATCTCTTGATGGACAATTTAGTTGATTCCATATCTTTGCTATTCTGTATAGTGCTGCAATAAACAGAGGGGTGCAGGTATCTCTTTGATATACTGATTTCCTTTTATTGGAGGTGTGAATAGTCAGCAGTGGGATTGCTGGATTGTATGGTAGCTCTATTTTTAGTTCTTTGAGAAATCTCTGTAATGTTTTCCATGGTGGCTGTACTAGTTGACATTCCAACCAACATTGTTCTATACAGTTCTGTATCTTGTGTTTTTTTCCACTTTAATATTACATCATGAGTATTTTCCCAAGTCATTAAATTTTTAAAAAATGAAAGTCCATTTTAATTGTACAAGCCAAATGTAAACAACTACATTTATGGGACAGTACCCTTAGTAGTTAATCCTATTTCCCCATGAGTTCAATATTTTAATCTGTTTATCTTTTATAAGTTATTTTTAATTGTGTTAAAATACACATAACAAAATATACCTGAATAAAATGCCGAAAATATTAGGCATTTTTAAGTGTACAGTTCAGTGACATTCAGTACATTCACATTGTTGTGCAATCATCTCCACCATCCTTCTCTAGAACTCTTCTTTCTTTCTTTTTTTTCTTCTATTTAACTTTTATTTTAAATTCAAGGGTACATGTGCAGGGTTGTTATATAGGTAAACTTGTGTCGTGGGGATTTATTGTACAGATTATTTCGTTACTCAGGTACTAAGCCTAGCACCTCTAGTTATTTTTCCTGATCCTCTCCCTCCTCCCATCCTCCACCCTCTGGTAGGCCCCAGTGTGTGTTGTTTCCTTCTACGTGTCCATGTGTTCTCATCATTTAGCTCCCACTTATAAGTGAGTACATGCAGTATTTGGTTTCCTGTTCCTGTTAGTTTGCTAAGGATAATGACCTCCAGCTCCATCCATGTAGAACTCTTTTTATCTTGAAAAAAATGAAACTTTGTACCCATCGAACAATAACTCCCCATTCTACCCTTTCTACTAAAAACATAATTTTGAATCGTTATTGTATTAGTCCATTCTCACGCTGCTGTAAGTAACTGCCCGAGACTGGGTAATTTATAAAGGAAGGAAGTTTAATGGACTCAGAGTTCTGCATTACTGGGGAGGCCTAAGGCAACCTACAATCACAGTGGAGGGCAAAGGAAAAGCAGGCACCGTCTTCACAAGGCAGCAGGAGGAAGTGCAGAGTGAAGGGGAAGAGCCCCTTATAAACCCATCAGATCTCATGAGAACTCACACTATCATGAGAATAGTATGAGGGAAACCACCTCATAATCCAATTACCTTCACCTGGTCCTGCCCTTGACACATGGAGATTATGGGGATTACAATTCAAGGTGAGATTTGGGTGGAGACACAGAGCCAAACCATATCAGTTACATAGTATTTATTTTGGTTGTATGTTTCCCAGCTCTTTTCATTTGATACTTTTCTATTGATATTAGAAATAAAAGTTATTTTTTGAGTCCTGCTATTTGGAGTAATGAAGGGACAGTAACAAAAGTCTTATAGAAGAACTGTCAAGAGTGGTTATGGTGGCAAGCTTTGAAAATTTATATTTTTACTATGAGATCGTATATAATGTAACTAAAAGGTGGTTTGGGGTTTAATAGAAAGTTTCAGGATAGTCCTGGAAATGAATTGCATGGAGTGAGGGTGACACCAGGGAGCTTGAGTGTCCCTCTGTCTAGATTCAACCTGCGCTTCACCATCCCCTGTTTCCATACCCAGCACCCAGGCATTGCTGTGGATCTGAAAATCCCCACACCACCCTCTCCACACCAGGAAGAAGCCTAGAAGAGGAGGAAGAGAAAACAAAAGGAGTCAGGGATGACTCCTACTCTGGGACCATTGACATTTAGGGATGTGGCCATAGAATCCTCTTGGGAGAAGTGGCCATGCCTGGAGACTCTACTCAGAGGGGTTTATGCAGAGATGTGATGTTGGAGAACTAAAGGAACTTTATCTTCCTGGGAATCTCTCTTTTTGACCTGGGTAGTATCTCCATGTTGGAGTAAGGGAAAGAGCCTTGGACTGTAGAGAGGCAAGTGCAAATAGCAAGAAACTGAAATGGGTGACAATGGATCAAATGTGTGATCACAGGTCTTTCCTTACGGTCTCTGGGAAAGAACCAATTGTATGAGATGACCCATTTCATTAGGTGAGGATTGTTTCTATCCAAGTTCCTGGAAGAAGAAGGACTCTGCCTTTGAAAATTAAATATTGTCTGAATGAGAGAGCATTTGGCAGGGGCTGAGAACAAAATAAAATGATGATGCCACTCATCGTGCTCATTGTGTTCAGGGTGCCTTTCTCCTCACAGGAGGGCACTGTGGGTTAAAGGAAAGAAATGCTCTACTGGCTGACCATGATATAGAACAGGCCAAACCCTTAGGACACTGGGATTTTTATGGGGGTGGAGTAACAGGTTATTAGGTACTGATATGTGGTAGAAATAATGCAGGAGAAAATGGACACATTCTCCATGGAATTGCAATAATGGTTGCATAGCAAAGATTGATGAAAATTGGTCTCATTTTTGAAATTGGAGAAAGAACAGTTATCAGGGTGGAGAGTTCAATTTCAAAAACTAGAACAGCGTGTTTTTGGGTAGGATTCACATTTTAACTGTTAACATAACAATTTGTTTCTTTTATTTAGAACGTATTGGAGATCAAGTATTTTAACTAATAAATTTTAACATTATTTCATAAAAAGAAAAAGAAAGTTTTGGAATGGTGTAATTCTGACCCTGTGACTTAAAATTTAGTACTAGTTAACCACTCTGTGTCTCAATGTTCTTATCTGAAAACCAAGGGTAATAAAACTGATGGGTGGGGAGGAGCCAAGATGGCCAAATAGAAAGAGCTCCCGTCTGCAGCTCCCAGCAAGACCAACACAGAGGGCAGGTGATTTCTGCATTTCCAGCTGAGATGCCCAGTTCATCTCACTGGAACTGGTTAGGCAGTGGGTGCAACCCACGGAGAATGAGCAGAAGCGAGGTGGGACATTGCTTCACCCAGGAAGTTCATGGAGCCAGGGGACCTCCCTCCCACAGCCAAGGGAAGCAGTGAGGGACTGTGCTACTTGCCCAGAGTACTACTTTTCCCACAGATTTTGGCAATCCATGGATTAGGAGGTTCCCTCATGAGCCAACACCACCAGGGCCCTGGATTTCAAGCACAAAACTGGGCGGCTGTTCAGGCATGCACTGAGCTGTAAGAGTTTTTTCATACTCCAGTGGTGCCTGGAACTTTAGTGAGACAGGAGAACCGTCCACTTCCTTGGAAAGGGGGCTGAAGCCAGGGAACCAAGTGGTCTCACTCAGTGGGTCCCACTCCCATGGAGCCCAGCAAGCTAAGCACCACTGGCTTGAAATTCCCACTGTGAGCATAGCAGTCTGGAGTCGGCCTGGGACAATCAAGTTTGGTGGGGGAGGGGTGACTGCCATTATGTGGCTTTAGTAGGCAGTTTTCCCCGACAGTGCTAAGGAGATTGGGAGGTTTGGACTCGGCGGCTATGGTCAGACTGCTTCTCTAGATTTCTCCTCACTGGGCAGGGCATCTCTACAGGAAATCCAGTAGCTCTAGTCAGGGGCTTACAGAATTCTCCCAGCACAGTGCAACAGCTCTGCTAATGGACAGACTGCCTCCTCAAGCGGGTCCCTGACCCCGTGCCTCCTGACTGGGAGAGAACTCCCAACAGGGGTCGATAGATACCTCATACAGGAGAGCTCCAGCTGGTATCAGGCTGGTGCCCGTCTGGGATGAAGCTTCCAGGAGAAGGAACAGGCAGCATTCTTTGCTGTTCTGAAGCCTCCAATGGTAATACCCAGGAGAACAGGGTCTGGAGTAGACCCCCAGAAAACTGCACCAGACCCGCAGTAGAGGGGCCTGACTGTTAGAAGAAAAACTAACAAACAGAAAGCAACAACAACAACATCAACAAAAAAGCACCCTCCACCCCCCAAAAAAAAACCATCCGAAGGTCATCAGCCTCAAAGATGAAAGGTAGATAAATCCATGAAGATGAGGAAAAACCAGTGCAAAAATGCTGAAAATTCTAAAAGCCAGAACACCTCTTCTCTTCCAAATGATCACAACAGCTCTCCAGCAAGGGCGCAGAACTGGACGGGAATGAGATGGATGAATTGACAGAAGTAGGCTTCAGAAGGTGGGTAATAACAAACTCCACTGAGTTAAAGGAGCATGTTCCAACCCAATGCAAATAAGCTGAGAACCTTGATAAAAGGTTACAGGAGTTGCTAACTAGAATAGCCAGTTTAGAGAGGAACATAAATGACCTGATGGAGCTGAAAAACACAGCATGAGAACTTCGTGAAGCATACGCAAGTATCAGCAGCAGAATCAATCACGTGGAAAAAAGGATATCAGAGTTTGAAGACCATCTTGCTGAAAAAAGGCATGCAGACAAGATTAGAGAAAAAAGAATGAAAAGGAATGAATAAAACCTCCAAGAAATATGGGACTATGTAAAAAGACCAAACCTATGATTGATTAGAGTACCTGAAAGAGATGGGGAGAATGCAACCAAGTTGGAAAATACACTTCAAGATATTATCCAGGAGAACTTCCCCAACCTAGCAAGATAGGCCAACATTCAAATTCAAGAAATACTTCCCCAACCTAGCAAGACAGCCAACATTCAAATTCAGGAAATACAGAGAACACCACTAAGATATTCCATGAGAAGATCAACCCCAAGGCACATAATCATCAGATTCTCCAAGGTCGAAATGAAGGAAAAAATGTTAAGGGCAGCCAGAGAGAAAGGTGAGGTCATCTACAAAGGGAAGCCCATCAGACTAACAGCAGATCTCTCAGCAGAAACCCTACAAACCAGAAGAGAGTGGGGCCAATTTTCACATTCTTAAAGAAAAAAATTTTCAGCCCAGAATTTCATATCCAGTCAAACTAAGCTTCATAAGTGAAGGAGAAATAAAATCCTTTCCAGACAAGAAAATGCTAAGGGATTTTGTCACCACCAGGCCTGCCTTGAAAGAGTACCTGAAGGAAGCACTAAATATGGAAAGAAAAAGCCAGTACCAGCCACTGCAAAAACACACCAAAATTTTAAGACCAATGACACTATGAAGACCCTGCATCAACTAGTGTGCAAAAGAACCAGCTAGCATCATGATGACAGGATCAAATTCACACATAACAATATTAACCTTAAATGTAAATGGGCTAAACACCCCAATTAAAAGACACAGACTGGCATATTGGAGAAAGAGTCAAGACCCATTGGTGTGCTGTATTCAGGAGACCCATCTCCTGTGCAAAGACATGCATAGGCTCAAAATAAAGGGATGGAGGAAAATTTACCAAGCAAAGGAAAAGAAAAAAAAAATGCAGGGGTTGCAATTCCAGTCTCTGATAAAACAGATTTTAAACCAACAAAGATCAAAAAAGACAAAGAAGGGCATTATATAATGGTAAAGGGATCAGTGCAACAAGAAGATCTAACAATCCTAAATATAAATACACCCAATACAGGGGCACCCAGATTCATAAAACAAGTTCTTAGAGACCTACAAAGAGACTTAGACTCCCACACAATGATAGTGGGAGACTTTAACACCCCACCATCAATATTAGATCAACAAGACAGAATATTAACAAGGATATTCAGGACTTAAACTCAGCTCTGAATTAAGTGGACCTAATAGACATCTGCAGAACTCTCCACCTCAAATCAACAGAATATACATTCTTCTCAGTGCCACATGGCACTTATTTTAAAATCACCACATAATTGGAAGTAAAACACTCCTCAGCAAATACAAAAAAATCCCCTGAAATCATAACAAACAGTTTCTCAGACCACAGTCCAATCAAATTAGAACCCAGGATTAAAAAACTCATTCAAAACCACACAACTACATGGAAATTGAACAACCTGTACCTGAATGACTCCTGGGTAAATAACAAAATTAAGGCAGAAATGAAGAAGTTCTTTGATACCAATGAGAACAAGGAGACAATGTACCAGAATCTCTGGGACATGGCTCAAGCGGTGTTAAGAGGGAAATTTATAGCACTAAATGCCCACATCAGAAAGCTGGAAAGATTTCAAATCAGCACCCTAACATCACAATTAAAAGAACTAGAGAAGCAAGAGCAAACAAATCCAAAAGCTAGCAGAAGACGAGAAATGACAAAGATCAGAGCAGAACTGAAGGAGATAGAGACACAAAAACCCTTCAAAAAATCAATGAATCCAGGAGCTGTTTTTTAAAAAAATTAACCAAATAGATAGACTGCTAGCTAGACTAATAAAGAAGAAAAGAGAGAAGAATCAAATAGACACCATAAAAAATGATAAAGGGGATATCACCACTGACCCCACAGAAATACAAACTACCATCAGAGAATACTATAAACACCTCTATGCAAATAAATGAGAAAATCCACAAGAATTGGATAAATTCCTGGACACATACACCCTCCCAGGACTAAACCAGGAAGAAGTCAAATCCCTGAATAGATCAATAACAAGTTCTGAAATTGAGGCAGTGATTAATAGCCTACCAACCAAAAAAGCCCAGGGCCAGATGATTTCACAGCCAAATTCTACCAGAGGTACAAAGAGGAGCTGGTGCTATTCCTTCTGAAACTATTCCAAACAACTGAAAAGGAGGGACTCCTCCTTTACTCATTTTATGAGACCAGCATTATCCTGATACCAACCTGGCAGAGACCCAACAAAAGAAGAAAACTGTAGGCCAATATTTCTGATGAACATTGATATGAAAATCCTCAATAAAATACTGGTAAACTGAATCCAGCAGCACATCAAAAAGCTTATCCACTATGATCAACTGGGCTTCATCCCTGGATGCAAGGCTGGTTCAACATATGCAAATCAATGAACATAATCCATCACATAAACAAAACCAATGACAAAAACCACACGATTATCTCAATAGATGCAGAAAAGGCCTTCAATAAAATTCAACATCCCTTCATGCTAAAAATTTTCAATAAACTAGGTATTGATGCAACATATCTCAAAATAATAAGAACTATTTATGAGAAATATGTAGCCAATATCATACTGAATGGGCAAAAGCTGAAATTGTTCTTTTTGAAAACCAGCACAAGAAAAAGATGCTGTCTCTCACCACTCCTATTCAACATAGTATTGGAAGTTCTGGCCAGGGTAATCAGGCAAGAGAAAGAAATAAAGTGTATTCAAATAGGAAGAGAGGAAGTCACATTGTCTCTGTTTGGAGATGACATGATTGTACATTCAGAAAATCCCATTATCTCAGCCCAAAAGCTCCTCAAATTGATAAGCAACTTCAGCAAAATCTCAGGATACAAAATCAATGTGCAAAAATCACAAGCATTCCCATACACCAACAATAGACAAGCAGAGAGCCAATTTATGAATGCACTCCCGTTCACAATTGCTACAAAGAGAATAAAATACCTAGGAATACAGCTAACAAGGGATGTGAAAGACCTCTTCAAGAAGAACTACCAACCACTGCTCAAGGAAATAAGAGAGGACACAAACAAATGGAAAAACATTCCATCCTCATGGATAGGAAGAATCAATATTGTGAAAATGGCCATAATGCCCAAAGTAATTTATAGATTCAATGTTATTCCCATCAAACTTCCATTGACGTTCTTCACAGAATTAGAAAAAACTACTTTAAATTTCATATGTAACCAAAAAAGAGCCTGTATAGCCAAAACAATCCTAAGCAAAAAGAACAAAGCTGGAAGCATCACGCTACCTGACTTCAAACTATACTACAAGATACAGTAATCAAAACAGCATGGTACAAAAACAGACATATAGACCAATGGAACAGAACAGAGGCCTCAGAAATAACACCACACATCTACAATCATCTGATCTTTGACAAACCTGACAAAAACAAGCAATGGGGAAAGGAGTATCTATTTAATAAATGGTGCTGGGAAAACTGTCTAGCCATATACAGAAAACTGAAACTGGACCCCTTTGTTACACCTTATACAAAAATTAACTTTAAGATGCATTAAAGACTTAAATATAAAACCCCAAACCATAAAAACCCTAGAAGAAAACCTAGGCAATACCATTCAGGACATAGGCATAGGCAAAGACTTTCATGACAAAAACACCAAAAGCAATTGCCACAAAAGCCAAAATTGACAAATGGGATCTAATTAAACTAAAGAGCTTCTGCACAGCAAAATAAACTAGCATCAGAGTGAACAGGCAGCTTACAGAATGGTAGAAAATTTTTGTAATCTACCCATCTGACAAAGGTCTAATATCCAGAATCTATAAGGAAGTTAAACAAATTTACAAGAAAAACAAATGACCCCATCAAAAAGTGGGCACAGGACATGAACAGACACTTCTCAAAGGAAGACATTTATGCAGCCAACCAACATATGGAAAAATGCTCAACATCACCGATCATTAGAGAAACACAAATCAAAACCACAGTGAGATTCCATCTCACATCAGTCAGAGTGGTGATTATTAAAAAGTCAAGAAACAATAGATGCTGGCGAGGCTGTGAAGAAATAGGAACACTTTTACATTGTTGGTGGGAATGTAAGTTAGTTCAACCATTGTGGAGGACAGTGTGGCGATTCCTCAAGGATCTAGAACCAGAAATACCATTGACCCAGCAATCCCATTATCGACTATATACCCAAAGGAATATAGATCATTCTATTATAAAGACACATGCACACATATGTTTATTGCAGCTCTATTTACAATAGCAAAGGCATGGAACCAACCCAAATGCCCATCAATGAGACTGGATAAAGAGAATGTGGTACTATGCAGCCGTAAAAAAAATGAGATCATGTCCTTTGCAGGGACATGGATGAAATTGGAAGCCATCATCCTCAGCAAACTAACACATGAACGGAAAACTGAACAGTGCATGTTCTGACTCATAAGTGGGAGTTGAACAATGAGAACACATGGACACAGGGAGGGGAACAACAATACCAGGGCCTGTCGGGTGTTGGGGGGCAAGGGAAGGGAGAGCATTAGGACAAATACCTAGTGCATGCAGGACTTAAAACCTAGATGATGGGTTGATAGGTTCAGCAAACCACCATGGCGCATGTATACCTATATAACAAATCTGCACGTTCTGCACATGTATCCTGGAACTTAAAGTAAAATACAAAAATAAAAAATAAAACCGATAGGGTTGATATGTTGTTTAAATGAGTCAAAGTATGTGTGAAAATAATTTTAAATAACATGATGTGATGTGAATATTAGTTTTTATTATGTTGTCAAGATATTTGCTATCAAATAAAGTTATCACTTATGAGAGAAAAATATTTTAATGGATTTTTTTGAGTGGCAAGGTCATTACATTGAAATAATAAATAACAGAGGACAATTTCAGAAATAACTTTTTAGCAGTTCAAATTTTCCCTGGAAATTTACTATTGTCCTGGGAATATTACATGGTTCAAAAGCTGAGCACTTCTGCATGGCATTTAATTAAAATGCAGCCTGAACATGCTATGTGAAGAATTTTAAACAGTCTTGTTCAATATAAAATATGCTCAATGTCAGTATATTATGTCTTTTTTTACTATTCATTTTCCCATCAGAATGCATTTGACAGTCAATCTGTGAAAAGATAGATTGGGATTGTGTAATTTTTATATGCTTCTTAACATTCTTTTTATTTTAATGATAAATTTGTAATTATGGCCCATCCCATTTACAATGGTCTGGGAGGTAAGTACTTAAAAATATTTATAAAAATCATATTGCTAATCTCTATAAACTTGAGTTCTCAGGGGTCTAATAACATAAGATAGGACAAAATAATTTTAAAAACATGTTTCACAAGTAACACTCTTTAAAAGCCTCCATCTATGCATGTAAAGTAAAATGGATAGATATAAATAATATTGTTTGTTAAGTATTCAGGATTTTCCAGATTGTCCATTATCCACATCAATCACTGCTAATAATAAAGTACACCAGATAACTTTACAACTCAACTGTTATCTATAGCTTCTTGTTTTTACACAACAATGTGGAAATTAGAATTTAAGAATCAGATGGTGACAAAGGCCATTTGGAGTTGCTAGGCTTCCCCAGTAGGAGGGGTGAAACTAAGTTCATGGGTCCTCAGGTTTGTACAATTTCTTTTAGAAAAAAACATGAAAATTTAATCCAAATGTATTTAAGAAGATCAAAATTTATTTATGAAACCAGAGCAAGTGAAGCACCCTTAAAACTTCACCCTTGGAGTGAATCCTCAGAGTAAATCTACTTCTGCCTAGGCCGACTGAAAAGGGGGCTTCCTTTCCCGGAGGTCCTCTGCTTTCTCTCTTTGTCTTCTGCTTGCCTCTTGCCTTAGTGTAAAGAATCCAGATGGGCTATGCTAAAAAGAAAAAGAAATGTCATGTTCATGATCATAGAGCTGAAGAGTGTTCTTACTTGAAGAACCAGCTGTCCTGCTGAAACAAATGTTTCTAAGATTTCAGGCTATAGTTGGGGAACAGAGGCCAACTGAAAATTCACACCAACTGCTTGAGTAGAACTTGGATCCAAGAGACATTCCATTGTTTCTTTCAGCACAGATAGGAGAATCTGGCAGCCCATAGACTCACCACCAATTCTTGAGCTAGTTCCTTATATCATGTGCAAATGTGACGGTGCTGGAAAGATATCAAGGTGGCTGTTGGAAGCTTGCTGCATACATGCTTGTGGTCTCTGAGTGTATCAAGCTGACCTTTTTAGGAAAATGATGTCTGGCTTGTTGGATGAATTAACTTGCACCCTAGCTGTGAAGCAAAGGAGCTTCAGAGCATTCGGGTGACAAATTGCACAGATAAGATGGCATTTCTTTTCTGTCTGAGTGACAGCGTGCTGAGTGGTGGTCTGATTTTGTGATAATGGCTGGAAAGCTCTAAATAGCAGGCTATTCTCCGTTGAAGCACATATGGCTGATTTAGATTGAAAAATGACAGGTGTTATATAAGCAAAGGTGAGAGCTTGGTAATAACTTTAAAGCTAACAAATGTAGAATTTTGTTGCAAGTTATGTTTTTTACATTTTCGTGTATTTATTAAAAGTTCAAAGTATGGATGCTGACCCATTCAGCATGAAAATAAGATTCTATTTCTGAAACAAAAGGAGTTTAATGTATTTTCGTTTTGATTTAATTTCATTCTTCCCAAGTAATTCTGTCCTCCATAAATACCATTGACTAAAAGTGTCATGTCATTATCCCATCAAAATCACTCACCCGCACATGACTTGGGGCTATGCTGGACATTGTATAAAGGAGGTGTCAGGCAGAATAAAATGACAAATTAAGCAAAGTTCGTCTTTCCACACCCTCTATCTTCCCCCTTAGCCTCATTCTTTATTTTTTTCTTCTGGTCTTTATTCCCCTACCTGTCATTACCCTTCCCACCCCCATTATTTTCTGCTATAGTGTTAATTGATCCGATATTTGTTCATTAAAGAGTAATCCGCATTCTCCAAAATGATACTTAGTAAAACTGGCAAAGCCTTTACATGATAAAATAAAACTATACTGGTAGAATAACAGGCAGTAGGGTTTGAATTTGAGGAAAGGATTCCTTCCCTTAGTTTCATCTCAAGAGGATCATGGGGCTAGCTTCCTATTTCACTGCCTAGTTAGACTAGCTCCATAGAAAGCCTTCTAGGAGGAAATAACCTGAGTAATAAAATAAACACAACATAGACAGAAGCAGCCAGGCTCCAAGTCAATTGAAGAATTAGACCTTCAGAGTAGGAAGTGTCATTAGAGGTGGTTTTGTCAAACCCTGAATTTTCTTCATCTGGAAACCGAGCCATGGAAAAGGTAAGTGCATTGCACATGTTCTTTCAGCTAGAATATTTATACATTTGCTACAAGAATTTGGGTCTTGCAAAATTTCTAGTCCAGTGCTACTTTTATCAACCATATTAACCCACCTCCAAAAAATATGTAAATCCAATAAAACATAAGTGGAATGATATGGTTAGGCTTTGTCTCCCCACCCAAATCTCATCTTGAATTGTAATCCCCATAATCCCCACCTGTCAAGGGAGAGACCAGGTGGAGGTAATTGAAGCATGGGGTCAGTTCCCCCAACGCTGTTCTCATGATAGAGAGTGAGTTCTCACGAGATCTGATGGTTTTATAAGGGGCTCTTCCCCCGCTTCATTCGGCACTTCTCCTTCCAGCTGCTTTGTGAGGAAGGTGTCTTGCTTCCCCTTCACCTGCCACCATGACTGTACGTTTTCTGTGACCTTCCCCAGCCATGCTGAACTGTGAGTCAATTAAACCTATTTCCTTTATAAATTACCCAGTATCAGGCAGTTCTTTATAACAGTATGAAAATGAACTAACACATGGAGCATATCATAATGTTTTATTTTTACCGTGGAGTAGGAATTATGAGACAGGTGAGTCAGGTCTTATGAATGTATTGCAGGAAGGTGGAGAAAGAGAAGAGAAATGAGAAAACTTTTAAAACAGAGTAGGGTGTAACTTTGTTTTTGAGACGAATCTCTGTCCCTTGGCTGGAGTGCAGTGGTGCTATCTCAGCTCACTAGAACCTCTGCCTCCTGGGTTCAAGCAGTTCTCCTGCCTCAGCCTCCTTAGTAGCTGGGACTACGGGTGTACACCACCATGCCTGGCTAATTTTTGTATTTTTAGTAGAGACGGGGTTTCACCATATCGGTCAGGCTGGTCTCAAACTCCTAAACTCAGGTGATCCACCCGCTTCGGCCTCCCAAAGTGCTGGCACTACAGGCATGAGCCACTGTGCCCGGCAGGTGTTACTTCTCGAAACCAGGATGGGAAGGATAGGGAGGAAATATGAGACTAAATACAGATGGAAGATGAATACTGTTTGTTCACCTTTCACTTAAATCCCAATCCTCTTCCCTTCCTTGGCCAACATAAGTCAGAGCCAAAGGGCATGTTGAATGCATACCTTTTTTATTTTACCATCAATTTTGACTTCAGGAAGAAATAGCCAATGACTTTTGAGGCACGTTTATGGGGATTTATTGGGGAAGGAGGAGTCTGATTATACTTAGACTTGGAGTTAGCAGGGAGACACGTGTCTGTAAGGTACTTTTAAAATGTCTCTTATTAGAGATGAATGCAGCGATTATAGTTGTTAACTCAATACCTGTATTTGCCTGTAACAGCAGCTCATTAGTTGCAGCAGATGCTCTTGATTGTCCTTCCATATCTCCTAGTTTTTCAATGCGTGCTAGCTGGACTTTCAATGATCAGTGCCTGCATTTCTTCTCCTGAGGGCTTTCTCTGACTGTTAAAGCCCAGTTTGCCTCCTATATGGTAAACAGATATGCCAGGGTATTAATGTTCCCTGGAAGCCTTCCTCAACCAATAAATGAGTTGGTATGTAAATACCCTAGCTCCTTTACCCCTGAGGCATGTGTTTTCCGTTGGTTTGTAGAGTTTCTTCACAGTGGTAGCTGGCTTGATAATGCACCCTTTATTGGCTGCTTTTTTCTGTTTCACTTCCCTAACTGCTTATTGATATTTCCTTTGCCTCTCAAATGAACCACTTGCACCCTAATCCTTGTCATAAGGTCTGTTATTGAGGGAACCCAAATGAAGACACCCAGATTGCTTATTATGTTAGCAATAGAGTCTCACAACAAACCTCAGGAGAGCCCATCTGTGTTAGGCATTCAATCGCAAGAAACAGCAAACCAAACTTCAGTAACCTAATAGAATAGGGGATTATTTTTCTTCTATTACGAGAATTCCAGTGGCAGACAGTTGCTGGAGTAGGTTCAACTGCTCCATGATCCCACCAAGGAATCAGGGCCTTTCCATCTTCATCTTTACCTTTCATCCTTGGACTTTTTGCTCATGTCACAAAACATCTGCTGCATCTCAGGAACCAGAGCCATATTCCAGGAAGAAAGAAGGGGAGAAAGTTAAATCTTTCCTTTTTGCACAGCTTTGTCTTTTTAGTCAGGAAAAGAAGTCCTCTCCAGGTGTCTCCATCTGCAGTTGAACTAGGTCACCTGCTCATCATCAGACCAATTACTTCCAAAAGGGATGAGATTAGAAAGCCTGGTTTATTTAGCTCAGTCATAGTTCATCCCTGGTGAAGGTCCCTATCTGAACAAATTGGGATTCTGTTAGCTGGAAAGAAGAGGCAGAAGTAGCTTGGGTCAGCAATAGAAAACATCTCATGCATCACCTCTAAAAAGTATATCATTGGTCAGCTCCATGGTAAATATTTCAGTTTCCTCTCTCCACATGACCTATTTCAGACCAATGGCACACCAGCAGACGCATACTCTAAGACAAGGAAAATATAGAAGCAGAGAGGAGTAGCTTTAATGTGCCTTCCTTAAAAGTCTTTATTTTATCTTACTGAGTCTTAGATATCTTTAGAAACTGTATTTCTGAATAAATCTAGCAAATAAAATTATTTCTGTAGCCTAAAAACTACAAGGCATACTAGTTAACCCTTTGTAAAGGGGGCTCTGCTCAGAGAAGAGCACTGTTTTTGCAGGTATAAAAAGAGAACAGAATTCTAAACATAAAGCTATTCAGAGGATACTTTCTTAGTGAAATTGAAGGTCAGTAGCATTCACAAGAACAAAATCTAGGTCTCTAGTTAGTTACCATGAATATGTCCTTGCAAAGATATTGGTAAGAGGTCCCCTGGGAGAAAGCTGGCCTTCTAGAGTTAAACACTGTCTCCTGTGGAATGTTAAGCTTTAATCTTAAAACACTGCATGTTAATTGCTTGTCAGAGAAGAATGTATTGAAATTGGTATCTGAAAGCTCTGAAGAAATATAAAATGCACTTCTTTGAGGTGAGACAAGAGCCTCAAACTTTGCTTTTCTTTCCATTGGCCAAAGGAGAAATTAATAAATCAGTGATTCTGTTAGAGGTCTAGTCTTAAGCTGTACAAGATATATTTTTTGAACAAGGACAAAACATCCTTGTTCTAAGCGGAATCTACTCAGTCAAGGGCTAGAACAGAAGACTTTTGCCAATCATATGGTAGAATGGAAGTGTCACTCCTGCTTTCCAGAGAGCCATGTAGAACAACTTAAGAAATTAAGTGGAAATAGAAACGCAACCAAAGCCAGTTAACCTAAACTAGAATCTATTATGCTCCATGAAACTTTATGAAGCAGATACAGTTAGTTCTGATAATCCAGTATTTTGTAGTTCAGAAATCCTTTTGATTCCTTTTGGAAAGTCAAAGGAATCCAGGAAAATACTGTGTTCCATTATGTGCCAGGCATTGTCTCAGGTGCTTCAGATGGATTAATTCTTAATCTTCAGAACAATACAATCCAGTACTGTGAGTGCTTTTCTTACTTTTGCTTTTGAACCCCCATTGAACAGATGGGAAAAAGAGGGGGCATAAAGGTTCAACCACATGCCCAAGATTGCATAGCAAATGGGTGGCAGAAACAGGATTCAGTCCCCCACCTTCTAATTCTGAAGGCAACATTTTCAGCTACTTTCACTGCCTTAGAAATTATCGGATAAGTGTCCTAAGTGTATTCACTGAGTTGGTATGTCATTAACCCACAAATACTTCAAGAATTGAAAGGAGAGAGATCCTTCAAAATATTAACTTGGCATAAAATTACTGTTTTTTAAAGAAACATTGTCATTTACTGAGCATAATAGTATTACTGTAGTGTTACTGTAGATGCAATAAATCTGCATATTTTATGAAATAATTAAATCTGTATTTCTTACTGCTTATATCTCTGAAATTTCTGAGACTTTAATGAAAATGACATTGATAAACCAAGCCCTGCAGATGCTCATGTTCTGTTTTCATTTTTTTGTTTACTATTCTATAGCTCTCAGATCTTACAACTATGTTCTGAGGAACACGGTCTAATCATCCAGTTTCGTAAGACTTTGACATTAACTGCTATTTTGTGTTAGAGATACTTTATTACACTAAAAAGAGTATTTAAAATTTTGGAATAATGTGCAATTTTGATATAGAATTGTGCACAGTAAAAGTTTACGCTAGAAGTAAATTATACTAAAAATAGGACTTTATCTTCACCTCTTACAAAGATGAAGTTAAGATGTATCAATGGAGTAATGTCCGTTAGTCTGAGATCTCAAAAAGGAAGGAGAGAGAGGAAGAATAGGAAGAGAAAGAGGAAGAATTCTGGATGGATAATTTAATATTTTCAAACAAGGGAAAATATGAATGAATTCTGGCCTCCCCTTATAAAAATTATTTCTTAATTAAAGAAATAAAAAAGTGAAGTTCTTTTTTGATAACTTGATGTGTACTTTCCCAGTCTTTGGGCCCAACCCACCTCAATAAGAGTAAAAATACAAATTTCCTTATAAACAGAAGACAGGGTCTAATATCTAAATCCAGCAGTGGATTTAATAGGTGAATGATCCTGCAATTTAGTAAGTTCAAGAAGATAATGTTACAAATCAAATATTCCAAAACTGAAATCACTATTTGTGAAGATACCAAGTAGATTTTGCCTAGCATAGAAATAATTCAGTCAGTCAATCAGTCCATCAGTCGTTGACTCAGTAGATATTTATTATCTATCATATCTTGGGTACTCTTTTAGGCACTAGGTAGGCAGCAATGAGTGAAACAAAGTCCCTGCTCTCAGCTTACAATCAACTGGGGAGGAGATTGCTCATTGACACATAAACAAGTAAACATATGTATCAGATGGTGATAAGCACAAGGAACAAAGAACAGCTGAGAAAGGAGTAGGGTGGTCAGAAAAGACATTTCTGATAAGGTGACAAAGAGAAAACAATTTCATTTGGTTTCTGTGATGCACATTTTGTAAACGGTTCATCTTAGAGACTATAATCCGGAAGTATCATTTTTTAAAGTTAAGAATTCTATGGGTGCTTCATTGAGATTTTATGTAGCCAGAGTGGTTGTCTACTTATATTTCTCTTAACATTTTTTTAGGTTAAAATTATGAGCATGATATAGAACTTTATGGCTTTGATTTCTCATTTACCTCTAGCTTACTCAGTAAATGTTTTCTAAGGAGAACTTTGGCCTAACATATATACCCTAACTTAATTAATCTCCAAACACAGTTAAGAGACCCTCTGTCCAAGTGGTTGTCCTGATGTACTTCTTTATTTTCAAGAGAATCTCAACTCTACCCCGGCTCAATTTTTGCTATTAAGCCCTGCCTTGATCTACTAGTGCCTGTAAAAGTTACCATTTTTACATATTAAGGGATGCCTACATCAATGGTATATGGTTATTGAGGAACTGAATGAAGCAAAAACCCCCTGAAATCAGTCTCTTCCTCCTGCACATTTTTCTTTGACCTTGGCCCTCACAATTATCTTCAGCTAAATTATACATGTTTGGGTATGTATGTCAAATTCATAATTAGAATATTCCAATTGGTTAATATTTTTAAAAATGTAAAAATGAAATTTCATGAGATGTTTGAATAATAGACGCATGAAAACTTGATATTGGGGAAACTATATTGAATATAGTAATTACGTTTTTTCTTCTTTCAGTTGTTTTGAATATAAGGACAGATAATGGAAACATGGCAGACAACCTAAGCATTTCGTACTTTCCCTCTATCCCTAGTTCCATCTATCCACAAGATCAGAGTGGCAGGTCTTGGGCTCTAGGTGATACCCTTCGTGAAGCAAGTGTGGATCTTTCTCCCTGAGCATCAGAGGAGTCTCTAAACCTTTACTGGGGAGCCCTAGGGCAAGAATTAGAACCAGAGGACCCTAAGGAATTTGTGTACTCCCAGGGGTAAAACTGGCACTGATACTGTGAGTATGTTTGTTCTTGCTAATCCCCAAGAGGTGCAAGGAAAACTAAGCAGGTGGGCTTGGCCTTTACTGTGTGAGGACAGAGGGCAGAGAGGCTTCCTCCTGGTTCCCTTCTCTGTCCCTAAAATTAGAAAATGCTTTGCCTTCCACAAGGTGAACAACAGTCACTTATGGTACCAGAAATATCAGTCATATGCCTAAATGAGCCAAGAAAAGAAATGGCAAGAATATAGTGATGTGGTCCCATCATTCAGAGAAAGACCAAACCACAGAGGTAGGTGCCCAGAGAAAGAGCACTACTGCAGATCCCTGAGGAATCGGAGCAGATAGTCCATCTCAAAAGTTTTCTGGAACTAAAAAAAGCATGATTTTCAAACAAAGAAACAAACCAATAGGTGTATTGAAGAAAAGAATGGAGTCTGTTGATATCTGCATTAGTGACCATAAATGCCAAGTAAAAGAAATCCCTCAATGAATGAACAAAAATGTAGAGACAGACGCGATGAAGGAAACACATAGATGGGTGCAAAGACTTAGAGTAAGAATAATAGGTTTTCCACAAAGAGACAAATGTAAAAGATAAGCAAGAGACAATGATTTTACAGGTAATAGATGAAAATTTTCTAGACTGAACATAAACCTGAATTCGTAGTTTGAAAGGAGATACTACATTCCAAGTAAGTTTGGTAAGAAAAACAAAACTAAACAGCATACCTGGGCATATTATAGCAAAATTCTTGAGCCACAAGAAGGAAAAGAAAAATTTGTATGCTTGCAGACAGAAAAAACAAGATACCCCCTAAAAGAAAAGAATCAAAGTTACCTGTGAGATAGCATATCATACAAGTTTAGAATAATGGCTTGGGTCACCTAGTCTAGTTTTGATTTCACATTTCTCTATTTAATGCCTATGTGTCTTGAGTAAGTTACTTAACCCTATTTCAGTTTACTTATATATAAAATAGTGATCGTGATATCCATAATGTTTTGCGAGGATTAAATTAACTAGTAGTTAATTGATACATGGCTTAGAACAGTGCCTGGTACATAGTATCAATATATGTGGTGGCTATATATGTATATCTCAAAGCTGCAAGTCAGAAGACAGAAGAAAATCATCTACATCAAAAAGAACTAAACTCGGGGATCCTATACTCACCCACATGATATGGCTCCTCTGACCTGGTGACTGATATCTGTGGCTACGTAAGGGTTGGATTCAGGAAGCATATCACCCCATCTGAGGAATTCTGAGACCTGAATCTTCCTCATCCTGAAGGATGATATAAAAGAGAGGAACCAGAGGTCTCTATCATAGCCTAGGTGAGGGAGCCTAGGCCCCAAGCTTTCCACAGTCCCTGAGATCAGAGTCCCTCAGATCACAGGTCAAATATAACCTTACTGAATAACATTTGGAACTGGCTCTAGATATCGAGAGCCTCTTGATATCTAGAGCCAGTTCCCAGAGCTGCAGCAAAAACCATCACTACAAATACAAACTCTTGAGATGGCATCATCCAGGGAAATAATAGATGTAGAAAAATAGGGGTGTGTGTGTGTGTGTGTGTGTCTCAGTCTCATCCCCCTCAACCCTGGGTGTCTATAAAAGAGTCTAGAAGTAAAATCATTCCAATTACAATGAGCACACCACACCAAATCTTGATTACTGAAAGCTATTCCCCATTAAGAGAAAGTCGGCCTCCTTGGAACAATATGTGATTTCAGGGCTGATTTTAATATGGAACAGAAAGTATAAGATGAACCAGAAAAAGCTGAACATGAGTTTTCCCAAAATAAGAGACATATTGAAAGAATGTAGGAGGTAGCCTAAAGGGGAGAGAAGTTCCTAGGTCAGATCCTGAATCTCAGGGAGAAAAATTCCTCTCATTTGTTCTCTGTGGAGCCTGGCTCCATTTTATGAAAAATCTTTCTTTTCTGGTATTTTCCCTGGCCTTATGAAGTCGGCATTGGGAAGGATACTCTCTACAGGATTTGCAGTGCTTTCACTGTATATATTCCCTATGGAAGTTTGAGGTCCAGTGGGTTTTAAGACTCAAATAATCAACATATTATGATATGGTTTGGCTGTGTCCCCATTCAAATGTCTTAAGCTGTAGTTCCCATAATTCTCATGTCATTGGAAGGGACCCTGTGGGAAGTAATCGAATCATGGGAGCAGGTTTTCTTGTGCTGTTCTCATGCAGTGAATAAATATCATGAGATCTGACAGTTTTATAAAGAGCAGTTCCCCTGAACACACTCTTGCCTGCCGCCATGGAAGATGTGCTTTTGCTACTCCTTCACCTGCCATGATTGTGAGACCTCCCCAGCTACATGGAACTGTGGGTCCATTAAATCTTTTTCTTTATAAATTACCCAGTCTCAGGTATGTCTTTATTAGAAGTGTGAGAACAGACTAATACATATTTTACTGATGTCTTTGGCAGTAAAATCCCTCAGAAATATAGTAGGCTTTTAATCTGTTTTCAGTCAGTCCCATGTACCAATAATCACATCCCAAATTATCTCCTAAAGGTAGATTCCCATGTCTGCTTTTTCTGTTTCCTTTCCCTGTGTCCCTGTATTTCAACTTTACAGTAGCTTCTTTGGAGGCATTTGAAAGAACAGGCTTGGGTGGGACTGAAATAGCCTTATGCTGGTTTTTGCCCTGGGACTGAATCACTTGATTCAACTGAGAAATCTTAATAGGCCTCTTAAGATTTTATTTTTCAGTCCTTCTTTTCTCAGATTTTAGGAGTTAGCTTTTTCCTCCTTGTGAAGTTACATATGTCCAGCTGTGATTTCAAATGAGCCGATTTTTGCTGATTTGCTGAAGGTCTTTTTTTTGTTTATAATATCTTGCTAAAAGTAGAAAGAAAAATACCCTATATTAATACTCTTTTCAACAACTTTTCTTAAAGCCACATGTGCAGTAGACACATGGTCTGCCTGAATTATGACACGTGGCAACTTTACCAAATATTTTGTCTCTGTATAATACTAGTTTCCATTTTTTTCCAGCTTATATTATCCATTTTCTCATTGCATACACTTGACCTTTAATCCAAGATAATATTTTTAATTGTAGTGATACTCTATAAGGTATATCTTTTTGTGTTAATTAGGATAGCACTAACTGCTATAACACATAAACCCTAACCTGTTATTTCTACCTAACCTAATGGTCCAATATGTGTCCCGGTTGCTAGGCAGTTTTCCTTTACACACTAATTTAGGGCACTCCTTTGTCTTAAGCCTCTACATCTTTGACGTTCTCACCTCTAACCAATGGATGGGAAATGAGGGTATGAAACTTTTAAGTGACACATTACTTCAACTCACATCCCATTGGTGAGTAGTAATGTAACCTCTGAGTGGCAACTCCACACTCTGGAAGAGGAAGCACAAATTGTATGTGAATAGCTGGCTTCATCTACCACTGCTGCCAACAAATACTACATAATCTTTTGATTAAACTTAGACAATTAGCTGCATGAAACCCAACTCACATCTGCTTTTGTTCCTTACATTGATCAAATTAACATTTTTTTCTGTATAATGAAGTCAAATCCCTAATGTAAAAATTAACCTTTTTTTAAGTGTAAGACTTTGCTTCTGTTAAACTTTGTCGTGGCAGTAGCATCCTTATTAAGATGGAAATAGGTTAAGGAATATATTTTATTGACTGAAATTTCATGATGGGAACTAGGAATAATGCAATTGGTGTTTAGATGTGCTTTTTAGGATTCCCTCTACTTTATTATTCTGTTGCGCCCCTTCATAACAATTTGTTTTCTGTGCTCTCAATACTAAGAAAATCATGCCACTCCCACATTTCTCAGAGAAGAAGTATAATAGTAGATAGGTGTGTTACAGGTTGAACTCTGTCCACACTGTTGAAGTCCTACCCCTAGTACCCCAGAATGTCACTTTATTTGGAAATAGAATCGTTTCCGTTGTAATCAGTTAAGATGAGGTCATTAAAGTAGGCTCTGATCCAATATGACTGGTGTCCTTATGGGGAAGATAATGTGAAGACAGATACACAGGAAAAAGGGCACGTGATGACAGGCAGTGCTTTGAAAGACATAGCTGCAAGCCAAAGAATGCCCATCATCGATGACCACCACCAAAAGCTAGGAAGAGGCAAAGAAGGCTTCTACTTAGAGTCTCAGGGAGAAACAGTTTGATTGTAAACTTCTAGCCTCCAGACTGTGAGAGAATAAATTTCTGTTTTTATAAGCCACCCATTTGTGGTACTTTATCACTGCAGCCCTAAGAAGCCAACACAAGGTGCAAGAGTTGAGGATCACCTCTGGAAGCTGCCATCTGTGAGGTCCTGGGTGGGTCGTTTTATCTCTCAGAGCCTGTTTCTTCAACTGTAAAATGGGAGAGAATTATTTTCATCTTTCAGGACTGTTAGGATTTAAAACTTTACAATTTTTAGCACAAGTCTTGACAAACTGTAAGTGCTTGGTTAAGGGAAACTATTGCAGTGTATTGGTTGTTTGAGTATTGAGTGGCATAAGAATTGAATATTTTTCCAGATATCACTGCTGCAGCTTTGGACCTAACGAAGTGGTTTTTTCAGGACAGTATATTTTTGTACTCCTTCTTCCAGGTATCTCTGTATACTACTATTCAGACTATGCCTCCGTGCTCAGACAAAATGATTTATTTAGCTTTGGCCTTAGAGCAGGAAAACTCTTCTATGAGCAAGGATCGAGAAGGATACAATAATGTGTTTAATTCATTGATTTAAGAAATGTTTACTGAACACTTAAGTTGCAATAGTGCCTGGCACTATGCCAAGCCCAGGGGATGCAACAGGGACTGAGGTCCAGTCCTCTTACAGCTAATTTACAGTCAAGGCTTAGTGATGAGTCCCTTGAGGACAGTGCAGTCAGTGCTCAGGAAACGTGCAGCAGTAGTCTCTCCACCAGCCTTGGGAGTCAGGAAAGGCTTCCTGGAGAAGACGTACCCTCAGCAGAGCCCTAGGTCTAAGTTACTAATTAGCCAGCAGGATGAGGATGTTGTGGGGCATAGGTGCTTCCAGCACGGGGGGCAAACCAGACACAAAGGCCCTGTAACGGTTCGGCTTCCGGCTGAGCTCTCAACAAAGGGTGGTTGAGTGGCTCTATCAGAACGCTCTTGTATATTTTGGGTAATTCCCCTAGACTTAAAAACTTTGATGCATCTAAGGCAAATGAGTGTTCTTTACAATCTTGCCACTTATTCTGATTTTTGATTTGCTCCAAAAAAATGCTTTTACCATAATTTTTCAGTTGAATAATCATCCTTCTGAACAGAACAGAAAATAACAAAATAATAAAATACATCAAAACAAAACCACCGTCCAGTCCTTTTGTCTCCACCACATTATTTGTTAATACAGTGTGATCTCTTCTTTCTGGTTATTTTAATAACCTAAAATAATAGGGAGTTATTTTTCTCCTGTCACAAGAATTCCAGCAGCATGCAGTTGGTGGAGTTGCCCTTATCCCACTATAGCTGGTTCCACTTTTTATGAGAAAAACTAAATTTTCATTGTGCCAAGCCACTGTATTTCAGGATTTATCTGTTCCAGAACCTTAACTAACAAGCTTTATATGCACCCCTTCCCCTTGGCAGGTTTCCAAGCATGAAGCAGACCCAGCTCAGGGAAAGAGAAAAGGTTTAAATTGGGTGAGAGTTTGAAATTTTCATATTACGCTGATTGGATGTGTATGTGTGTGTTGAAAAATGAGATTTCTTAGAGCAACCAAGATTTCATCAAGGGTTGGGGAAGACCAAGTTGAGAGATTACTTAAGAAATATAAAGTTGCTTTCTGTTTGCATCTTACCAACTTCAGCAATTTAATAAACTAGTTAGAGTTTACATGTTTCTTTGATTCAGTAGAAGTAACTATATTGATAGTTCAGTGTGCACTAACAAAATTTTTTTTGCTAGACAACTTAATGCCATGTGTCTTAGTCCACTGGGGCTGAATTACAAAGTACCATAAACTGGGTGACTTATGAACAACAAACACGTATTTCTCATAGTTCTGAAGACTGGGAAGTCCAAGGTCAAGGCACCAGCAGATTTGGTGTCTGGGGAGGGCTCATTTCCTGGTTCATTGATGCTGCCTTCTCCCTTTGTCCTCACATGGTTGAAGAGACAGGGCAGTTCTCTGGGGCTTCTGTTATAAGGGCACTAATCCCATTCACAAAGTCTCCAGCCTTATAATCTAATCATTTCCCAATGGCTTCCCACCTTTGAACACAATCACACTGGCGATTAGTTTTCCACATATAAATTTGGGGAGGACACAAACATTCAGATTAGAGTACCGTGTTTAATTTATTAGCTTTCCACTTGACCCTGCAGAGATACACCCATGTGAATAAATTAGCACTACTTCATTCTGTGCCATTAGCCTACCATCTTATTTTACTATATCAAGGGATGGAAACATTAGATATAAACTTAGTTTGGAGGTTTTCTTTTTTTTGGAAAAAGACTGAGATTTATTCATAATCTTGGGATATTTATGTTATGTTTTATATTTCACATTTGAAAACAAAATATAAACATAAACATATTAATTCTTAACATAGGGTTATGATGACATATCTTGTTCTTTAAAAATCATTTTAAAAAATCCAGCAATATGAAGGACAGAAATTAAGTAACTTTCCTAAGGTCACACAGCCAATAAATGGATATAAAGGAAGAGGAAGGAGATGTAATAAACCCTTCTTGTACTTATTTTTAGATACTGCCAAATAACTGCATTAGCTATCTGAAAGTTATTTCCAATATCTCTTTCTCTTTTTTTTTTTTTTTGAGACAGAGTTTCGCTCTAGTTGTCCAGGCTGGAGTGCAATGGCACAATCTTGGCTCACTGCAACCTCCACCTACTGGGTTCAAGCAATTCTCTTTTTTTCTAATTTTTATTTATTATTATACTTTAAGTTTTAGGGTACATGTGCACAATGTGCAGGTTAGTTACATATGTATACATGTGCCATGCTGGTACGCTGCACCCACTAACTCATCATCTAGCATTAGGTATATCTCCCAATGCTATCCCTCCCCCCTCCCCCCACCCCACAACAGTCCACAGAGTGTGATGTTCCCCTTCCTGTGTGCATGTGTTCTCATTGTTCAATTCCCACCTATGAGTGAGAATATGCGGTGTTTGGTTTTTTGTTCTTGCAATAGTTTACTGAGAATGATGATTTCCAATTTCATCCATGTCCCTACAAAGGACATGAACTCATCATTTTTTATGGCTGCATAGTATTCCATGGTGTATGTGTGCCACATTTTCTTAATCCAGTCTATCATTGTTGGACATTTGGGTTGGTTCCAAGTCTTTGTTATTGTGAATAATGCCGCAATAAACATATGTGTGCATGTGTCTTTATAGCAGCATGATTTATAGTCCTTTGGGTATATACCCAGTAATGGGTTGGCTGGGTCAAATGGTATTTCTAGCCCTAGATCCCTAAGGAATTGCCACACTGACTTCCACAGTGGTTGAACTAGTTTACAGTCCCACCAACAGTGTAAAAGTGTTCCTATTTCTCCACATCCTCTCCGGCAACTGTTGTTTCCGGACTTTTTAATGATTGCCATTCTAACTGGTGTGAGATGGTATCTCATTGTGGTTTTGATTTGCATTGCTCTGATGGCCAGTGATGGTGAGCATTTTTTCATGTGTTTTTTGGCTGCATAAATGTCTTCTTTTGAGAAGTGTCTGTTCATGTCCTTTGCCCACTTTTTGATGGGGTTGTTTGTTTTTTTCTTGTAAATTTGTTTGAGTTCATTGTAGATTCTGGATATTAGCCCTTTGTCAGATGAGTAGGCTGTGAAAATTTTCTCCCATTTTGTAGGTTGCCTGTTCACTCTGATGGTAGTTTCTTTTGCTGTGCAGAAGCTCTTTAGTTTAATTAGATCCTATTTGTCAATTTTGGCTTTTGTTGCCATTGCTTTTGGTGTTTTAGGCATGAAGTCCTTGCCCATGCCTATGTCCTGAATGGTAATGCCTGGGTTTTCTTCTAGGGTTTTTATGGTTTTAGGTCTAACGTTTAAGTCTTTAATCCATCTTGAATTGATTTTTGTATAAGGTGTAAGGAAGGGATCCAGTTTCAGCTTTCTACATATGGCTAGCCAGTTTTCCCAGCACCATTTATTAAATAGGGAATCCTTTCCCCATTGCTTGTTTTTCTCAGGTTTGTCAAAGATCAGATAGTTGTAGATATGCGGCGTTATTTCTGAGGGCTCTGTTCTGTTCCATTGATCTATATCTCTGTTTTGGTACCAGTACCATGCAGTTTTGGTTACTGTAGCTTTGTAGTATAGTTTGAAGTCAGGTAGCATGATGCCTCCAGCTTTGTTCTTTTGGCTCAGGATTGACTTGGCGATGCGGGCTCTTTTTTGGTTCCATATGAACTTTAAAGTAGTTTTTTCCAATTCTGTGAAGAAAGGCATTGGTAGCTTGATGGGGATGGCATTGAATCTGTAAATTACCTTGGGCAGTATGGCCATTTTCACGATATTGATTCTTCCTACCCATGAGCATGGAATGTTCTTCCATTTGTTTGTATCCTCTTTTATTTCCTTGAGCAGTGGTTTGTAGTTCTCCTTGAAGAGGTCCTTCACATCCCTTGTAAGTTGGATTCCTAGGTATTTTATTCTCTTTGAAGCAATTGTGAATGGGAGTTCACTCATGATTTGGCTCTCTGTTTGTCTGTTATTGGTGTATAAGAATGCTTGTGATTTTTGTACATTGATTTTGTATCCTGAGAATTTGCTGAAGTTGCTTATCAGCTTAAGGAGATTTTGGGCTGAGACAATGGGGTTTTCTAGATATACAATTCATGTCATCTGCAAACAGGGACAATTTGACTTCCTCTTTTCCTAATTGAATACCCTTTATTTCCTTCTCCTGCCTATTTGCCCTGGCCAGAACTTCCAACACTATTTTGAAAAGGAGTGGTGAGAGAGGGCATCCCTGTCTTGTGCCAGTTTTCAAAGGGAATGCTTCCAGTTTTTGCCCATTCAGTATGATATTGGCTGTGGGTTTGTCATAGATAGCTCTTATTATTTTGAGATTGGAGGTTTTCATAAAAACTTACCAGCCTCCTTCTCCCTCCTCCCTACCACCCCAAGCCTGGTACTTACATTGCTACCTTCTAGCTCCTTTAGACTGGAATCTGCAGTTGAAACAAATGTTTTCCTATTTGTTAACTTCTGAGCAAGTTGTCTTGTTTTAACACATGGTCCATGCTCTTTCGGTTCTTCCCCAACCCCTCATCTCATCAGGAAGGCAGTCCGAAGGTCATGCCCCAGTCTAATTTTGTGGTCCTACCTGCTCAGAATGGAAGTTAAGACAATGACAGCAACAGAACAAACTAGAACAGGTTCTGACCACTCATACCAAAACAAAAAAGAGAGCAAAAATAACTATAATTCATGAAAGTGAAATAATAGAATGGCAAAATGGCAAAGGTCAAAATAGAAGCCAACATATTGTAAGTCTGTTTTACTGTCAATATTTTTATACCACAGAAACACCTTCATATGAAGTCAGATGTCATTTTGTACACAGTAGATTGTCCACTAGTCTTTTGTCCACTAATAAAACTATTTTAAAAATCTAAGTTTATTGGATTAATCATAATATATTACTCTTATTGAGTATTTATTACGTGCCAGGTATTATTCAAAGTCCTATGTATATTCTGCTTTATTTAATCCTTATAACACACACTGTATGCAAGGACTCCCCTCATATCCATTTCACAGAGAAGAAGCTGAGGAATAGCCTAGAGAAAATAAGAAAATTGTTCCAAGTCACACTGCTAAGAAGTGATAGATAGTATCTTCATTTGTATCCAGGTAGACTGGCTTGCAAGCCTGAACTATCCATCCAGGTATTAACTACTACTGATGGCTGAGCCTTCACAGGGAGCTAGACTCACGACCAGGCACTTCACCTTGATCATTTAATTTAACCCTTACAACAACCTTCGAGATAACATTAACAATTCACAATTGAAGGTACAAAGGCTCAGTAAGATTAAGAAACTTGCCAAATTTATATTTATAATCTGATCTCCAAAACAGCCTTTGTTGTTGTTGTTGTTGTTGTTTTTGAGGTGGAGTCTCGTTCTGTTGACTAGACTAGAGTGAAGTGGTGGGATCTCATCTCACTCCAACCTCCGCCCCCTGGGTTCAAGCGATTCTCCTGCCTCAGCCTCCTGAGTAGCTGAGACTACAGGCACACACCACCAAGACCAGCTAATTTTCATATCTTTAGTAGAGACGGGGTTTCACTATGTTGTCCAGGCTGATGTTGAACTCCTGACCTCAGGTGATCCGCCTGCCTCAGCCTCCCAAAGTTGTGGAATTACAGGCGTGAGCCACTGCACCCAGTCCAAAACACTCTTTACGGTGACCATATAATCTATTGTCTAAAGACCAGGATACTTTAAAGAGTGAAAGACATTATTAATGATACTGGGAGAGTAGTCACAAACCAGCACTCTCCCAGGCATGCTGGAATTCATGACCACCCTCCACTGTACTGGACCTGACTAGCTGATGATATTCTACCTCAAATCTGTAGAAAGATTCACATGACAAAAGATATAAGTGTTCCACCAGGGTTTTCTGAATTGGCATTATCCTTCTCCCTTCTATTTGTGTCCTCTGCCAGGCCCCTTTGCAAACCCCAATAGACTAACTTCCTCTCCTCTATTTCAAGTCTTTTGGGAAGAAAAAAAGACTACAATTAGATCTTATAAATGTGTTTTCCTTGTGTGTGAAATGATGGTTTATTGGAACCTTGGAGAAAATAACATCCTTTCATCTAAGAGCAGAGCTGAACAAAATGGGAGAACACAGCAAGGACTAATAATTTAAAGATAAATTTATAGGTCTACTGATCTAATGACTAAGAATAATTTGCTGTTTGCATCTTAAGGGGTAAGGAAATTGTACTCGAAACCAGCTGTGCATGGCAATCTCCTCTAGCATTAAGAACAATTCAGATGCCCAACTCTCATTTCAGACTTATGGCATCAGAATCTTAGAAGGGTAAACCCTTCAGGGTTTCTATCTTTTTAGAGCCACACCAGTGGTTCTGATTCATTGCAGGGAGAATGAATCCATATTAAATCCACCTGACCCTAACAGGCTGTTCTTGCAGCAACAAGGAACGTGTATATTGATCTTGATACCATGCGTGGACATGATATTGATGCCAATATCTTGCATGTGCCATAGTTAACAAACAATCCATCCTGGGTTTTCTTCAACATATATCAGGAACTTTTTTGGTTGTTTTTCTAATCTAAAATGATGAAATCTTATCCCTCAGACCTATTTAAATATTTATAGTCTCTTTCATGGTTTCTTTTACTTCTTCTCTAACTCCTCTTCTTTCCCTGCAGCTTCTAGTACATCTGTACATACATACAAACATACACACATATCTATCTGTATCAAGTTTCAGAAGAATTCAGGTAAATATATATATAATCTCAGTTTAGGTAAATATATATAATCTCAAAATACCAGGTAATATACACATTATTTGAATTACCTCAAGATATATTTTACCTGAATTATTTTGATATTTTAAAATCTCCCCTTTTCTTTTTCATAAAAAGGTCATTCTGTGTTGACTTATTTTCAGGATTATGAGACTTCTTAAAGCCGTCCTTGATTTTTATTTAAACTGTAGACAATAAATATCTAATAAATAATTTCGAAGAAATCCCATGAATTTTTAAGCCTTTATCTTATTTCCCAGATTCTTTTTTTCCAACACATTATGAAAATTTTAAAACATACAGCATAGTTGAAAGAATTTTAGAGTAAACATTAATGTACCCACCATCTCAATCCTGCTATGAACATTTTACTTTGCTTGCACTACCACATACCTGTGCACCCGTCATTCCCCCATCAATCTATAATCCATCCTATTTGACGCATTTCATAGTATATTTATGGCTGGGCATGGTGGCTCACCCCTGTAATCCCAGCACTTTGGGAGGTCGAGGTGGGCAGATCACTTGAGGTCAGGAGTTCGAGACCAGCCTGGCCAACATGGTGAAACCCCATCTGTACTAAAAATACAAAAATTAGCCGGGCATTGTGGCATGTGCTTGTAATTCCAGCTACTCTGGAGGCTGAGGTGGGAGAATCGCTTGAACCCAGGAGGCAGAGGTTGCAGTGAGCTGAGATCGCACAACTGCACTTCAGCCTGGGTGACAGAGCAGGACTGTCTCAAAAAGCATATTTATATACTGATTTGATAAATTTTATGGCTATTTCTAACATTGATGGTGACAAAATATTTCAACTGTATATTGTCATTCAACCAAGCAAGTTTTCATTCAAAATAACTCCATGGTAAAAGACAGCACAGGTCAGATTCCATTCTCAGGAAATAAAACATATTATCTTTTGCTGGTAAGAGGATTTAAAGGTTGCTATTAAATCTCTATATAATGTAATGTATGTTTTTATTTTAATATTTAATTGTATTACACAATTTGAAAATATTAACCTTTTGACCAAAAAAAATTAATAAAAATGTTACTATTTGTTCAGTATTAAGAAAAGGCAGCAGTTGAATGTAGGACTGTTAAGTATGAACATGCATCTGATTTTTGTCCTTGTACCCTCAAATATGGTTTACAAGTTTATAATATGTCCTAGATGCAGGTAGTATGCATATCTGGAAGAAACAAGAATGAATGATATCTCTGTTCTGGAGTATTCAGAAAAGTAAAGGATACAAATTCATTTTGAGTTAAAATTTTATTTACTTGGTATCTAATTACCTGATTATTTTTAATTAATACATGAGATATGGAATTAAAGGTCAAATTTGTGATATGCTTATAATACTTTACAGGCAAGCATAATATAAATAAAAGCCGCCACAGTATACATACCTGAAATGCAAAATTTATGCCACCCAGTATAATACATTAAGGTAATTTATGTGTGTACTTGAGGATAATCACAATAGCTAGTCATAATTTACTCTTGACTGCATTCTCAATAAAATGCAGGTAGTTAAACTCTCAGGAATCGTTTTAATGTTCTGACTTGAAAATTGAAGTAAAAGTCTATGTTTATCATATTGCTGTGTGCCTGATGTTTTTGAATTTAATGAATGAGAGCAAATAAAACCAGAAAAGTTTGGAAACATAGCTTGCAAGATATCTTGCTGATGAGATTGCTAGGGTCTAGCCTCTGTTTCTGTGTGACCTTAGACAAGTCATTTCCCCTTTATTGGCCTCATTCGTCCCGTCCGAAAAGAATAGGTTGGACTGGCGGGGTGTGGTGGCTCACACCTGTAATCCCAGCACTTTGGGAGGTGGAGGCGGGCGGATCACGAGGTCAGGAGATCGAGACCATCCTGGCTAACACATTGAAACCCCGTCTCCACTAAAAATACAAAAAATTAGCCAGGCGTGGTGGTGGGTGCCTGTAGTCCCAGCTACTCGGGAGGCTGAGGCAGGAGAATGGTGTGAACCCAGGAGGTGGAGATTGCGGTGAGCAGAGATTGGCCATTGCACTCCAGCCTGGGACACCGCGAGACTCCGCCTCCAAAAAAAAAAAAAAAAAAGAAAAAAGTTGGACTAAGTGATCTCCAGGGTCCTTTCTGACTTTAAAATTCCATGATTTATTAAAATTTAATGTTTTTTAAGCTGAGAACTTACATTCAAACTAATTTTTCACAAGGAAAACTGCAGTATGTTCTTCTTTGACAGAGGATTCTCTCTCTCAGAAGCTAAAGAAAGTATTTATTAGGTATATAAATATGGGGAGAACTTGAATTTTATATCTTAAAGCAATTGAGCTACTTTAAATTTTAGCAATTGTGCTAATCATAAATTGCATAGCATCTTTTTTTTATAATTTGCTGCTCAAATATAAGAATAATTTTAATGTCAATCATTGGTGCTGGTAACTTGCATGGTTTCAGAAGACATAATTGTGAATACATGGTGTAAGAGTTGAAGGGTTGGCTTTTACCCTAGACTTCACTCTTTTAAAAAGCAAAATGCAGCAACATAGATTTATGGCTCAAATTAAAGTATATAAGGATTTATTGAAGTTGTACCAAAGCATTCTGTAGAACAGAATAGGATGGGTGTTAACGTCAGTCTTTTTGTAGAACCAGAAATTAATATGTCATCTTTTAAAGCTTATACCAAAATATCTATGTCCCCCATTTCAAGTCAGGAGTCAAACATTTCTTCTCTTAATAGATGGGCCTAAGATTTTTTTTTCCATTAGTATTTTTGTGAAGCCAATTAATTCTTGTGCTATTTTAATATATGTAATTATAATTTGGCCCATTTCAAGCCTTTTAAAAATGTATTAACATCTTTTGAGATAAAATTGGACCTTTTTAGTTATCACAGAAGTCTATTCAGAAAGAGGGTATGAGCTGCATACCTTGCACAGTGGAGTTGACCACCTATAAACTCTCCCTAAGACATTTGTTTACAGGTGTATTTCATTTTAGCAAATGCTTTGGTCCTCAGTGTATGTGCTGCATACAAATAAATGTGTTCTGAATCTTTTCATCTTGATAACATTTTTACAAATTTTTCCAAGGAATGAAAATTATTCTTGCTTTTTTTTTAAAAAAAGTAATTGTGACATTTGCTCATAAAAGTGAAAAAAAAGTCCATAGTTTGTAGCATCTGGCTATGGTGCAATATGATGTTGATATGGCAGGGTTTCGGACCCATTTGTTGAAAATACAAGTAACAGAGGGTCTTCCAAAAATAAGGACCTTTTACACAGATATTATTTAAGGACACCATAGAATAGTTCTCTTCTCCCCAAAATATCTCCCACACCCACCTGAAACCTCACCGTCATGTTTCATGGGTTTTTTTGGGGGGAGATCCTGGCTAAACACCAAGAATGTTCACTGTCATTCTCTGCCTTTCTTAGCCCTTCTCAGCCATAGAGGCTGAATCCTTCACTTTAACCTGACTCAGCCCTATCCCATCCTTCTGGACTACGTTAGTAGGATAGGGAAACCAGTAGATGCCACACTTCAACAGGTGGAAGTTAGTATTAGTTTTGCTGCCATAAGCTTTTGGTATTTTGGTGTCTTGGAACCACTTTGGCTCACCTCATGTCTTAGTCTTCTTGTGCCACTGTAAGAGAATACCAGAAATTGGATAATTTATAAATAGTAGGCATTTATTTCTCACAGTTCTGGAGGCTGGACAGTCTAAAATAGAGGCACTGGCAAGCTTGTTGTCTGTTGAAGGCCTAGTCTCTGCTTCTAAGATGGCACCTTGAACAGTGAGTCTTTACGTGTTGGAAAGTGGAAGGCAAAACAGAAGAGATAGCTCCCTCAAATCTTTCTTAATAAAGCCCTCAATCCCATTCATGAGGGCTCTATTTTCATGACTAATCCACCCCCCGACCTTTTCATATAAGCACATTGATGATTAAGTTTTACCATATGAATTTTGGGGGATAAATTCAAATGACGGCACCAAGGTACCCACTAAATCAGCTTTCTACCAGCCCCTGTGTACTTGGTGTCTATGTGAACTGGACTCTCCTACTGACTGTCTATTGCAGTTCCTTGAATTCCAAGTTGGCTTGATGATGTGTGGGGAAGGTGGTGCTGGTTCCCTGTCTACTCCTTGCCCCTTCCTCTGTGTCTCAAACCTTGGGTTTCATCGTCCCAGTTCACTGTGGTGACACAACTTCACATAGCTATGTCCTTTGAAACCGTGACCCAAGGAATAGTATGACCTTGAAGACCGCTTATATTTGAATTGCCTCCAATTCTGCATCCCAGCTGCTGGATTGGATTCTCCTGCATATAGATACTGATGCTGGTTTGCATGGAGCCTGAGCTTGCAACAGTGGAGATTAGAATTCTGGTTGCTGCTCCTTTGGGGGCAAGTCCTCATGTCATAACTATACAGCCTTAGTGTCCCCTTTCTCCTGATCCACGTGGGGCTTAGATCAAGCTGATCCATCCGGCACATTGAATATTTAAGAACATGGATGCTACAGTTAGACAGTCCTGGATTCAAATTTCTGCTCTACCAATTATCGACTGTGACATTCTGCAGTCCCTTAACCTCTAAATGCTCATCTCTTTCTCTGGAAAAATGAGGTTTCCATAGCACCTCCTTCATTTCTAGTTTATGGATTTTTACTAAGATAAATGCAGGAAAAACGCCTGGGATATTATGGTGTGCAGTAAGTACTGAAGAAATGGAAGCTTAAACAAAAGTATAAAGTACGAATAACATTTCAGATACTCAAAGCCATTTCCAGACTAAAGTGAGCTGCAGAGAAAGAAATAGCCTAAAGTGTGCTTTTATCATTAATAATGTTTTGACCGTTTGTTACCCTGATGTTTTTTGGCCACCTGATAAAGCCCTGTGAGGATGGTATGTGGGAGGATTATGGCCTATAGAAATGGAATAATCTTCTTGTATTCTTGCTATTTTCATCCTGTCTACAATTCATGAGCCATTTATTCAACTTTCATTTGTTCATCCAAAAATATTTTGCACAATGTACCGCACTGCACCACAGTAGGCACCTGGGCTCAGTGAGGTGAGATGGGATTTACAGGTTATGTTAAGAAGCTGGATTTTTGGCCGGGCGCGGTGGCTCACGCCTGTAATCCCAGCACTTTGGGAGGCCGAGGCAGGTGGATCACGAGGTCTGGAGTTTGAGACCATCCTGGCCAACATGGTGAAACCCCATCTCTACTAAAAATACAAAAAATGAGCTGGGTGTGATGGCACATGCCCGTAGTCCCAGCTACTCAGGAGGCTGAGGCAGGAGAATTGCTTGAACCCAGGAGGTGGAGGTTGCAGTAAGCCCAGATCGCGCCACTGCACTCCAGCCTAGTGACAGAGCGAGACTCCGTCTCACAAAAAAAAAAAAAAAGCTAGATTTTTTTTTCTGCAGGTAATGTGGAGGCATCAAAGAAACTCGATTATGGAAAGATCTTTATATTGCATATCTGCATGTTGATAAGACCACTCTGGGGACAATGTGGATAATGGGCTTGTAGGGGAAGTGACCAGTGACAGGCAGACAACTAGATCTCATGTGAGAGCGTATGTTGTGCTAGTTTATGTCTTTGAGGCTTTGTGCTACCCAGAATGCCCTTCCCATGCTCCTTCCTCAGCCCCTCCTCCTCCAGGAAGCCTTCCCACACTCGTTCACAAACTGTAAATCCAGTGGCATTACTCTGTGCTCCCAGAACTCTGTGCTTACCCCCATCTTAGCACTTACTAAAACATACCAAAATGAAGTAAAGTCTTCCTTGTATTTTCCACCAGATTTTAAGTAGTTTGAGGCCAGGACATACATCTTCTTCATTGTATCCCCAAAGCCCACTTCAGTGCACAGTGCATACTAGATGCTCAGTTAACATTTAATTAACAATTAAATAGGCTGGGCTAGTAGTCAAAGACTACACAGCGTGACTCCACCCATGAAAGTCATAGTTTAACAGAAGAAAAACAGACATGACAATATATTATTACAATGCAATGGGATGGTAGAAATCTATATAAATGTCTGTACAAATACAATAAAACATAATGGCTAACTGGGTAGGGGAGAAAAATAGGGAGAATGATGGTCCAGTGCCATGTCTGCACCCTGGAGCAGTGGAGCCCACTGGGACCTCTGGCCTCAGAATCAGGGCTAGTCTGTATAACATCATCTGTGGATTCCAACTCCAAGGAGCAAGTCACTCCTTATGTTTCAGTTAGTTTCAGTGGACCCGGAGCCTGCAAGGGTCTCAACTTGTAGGGTGTGAACCCCACTGTTGGCAAAGGGGCTGGACCACAGCAGGGAAAGACCGCTGCTTAATTGGCTGTGCCAGCGTCATGTTTACAGTTGAGGGCTCACTTGTCTGCATTCTTAAAAATCTGTTTTAGAATTCAGTCCTTTAGCATTGTTCATGTTCTCTGTATTTTCTCAAAAATGTATAACAGCACTTTCTTTTGTGATTCCCTCTGAACCCTTGGTTGGAATTTGCCTAGAATCAGCACCTTCAACTCATTTAAAATTGTCACGTGACTCACATTGTCTTCTAGTATTTTTGTTATATTTTGATTTTTAATTTAACGTGTTAATTACTATGTTTATTTTGCTTTGTTACTTTGGTTGATTTTTTTTTTGACAGCACGTACTGCAGATAGCAAATCATCAGCTTATTTTTAGAGCAATGCCAACTCAGTAATGACTCCATCCGAATAGATCCATTTAGTGGGAAAAACAAATTGATATAAAAAGATGCATAGACAGGGATGAAAGAACAGGAATTGCAAAGTGAGAAAGGCATTTTATAATTTATGACAATGAGAACTATCTTTTGTTTAAAAACATTTAAATTTGGATCTATCTTGGATTTCAAAATCATCAAAACATGTTTATTCTGCCCTTTCAAATACAAGTGGAAAAGAGAGAAACAAAATATGAATTGAGCCTTTGTTTGGACTGCCCCTGGTTCTCATTCCTTCTCTGCTTCAAGGTGGTCTTACCTTTCTTTCCATTTCTTGATATGAACACAGCCAAATAAATACATAAAAATAGAAGCCTTCATTGCTGATCTTGTCTCTTCTGTGATTCCAACCTATTCCCTCAATCACCTCCTTCCCTCTCTCCCTTGTTCTTCTCTTTCTCACTTCCTCTCTCTAATTAGTTGTTTTTCAGGCCAAACTGGGCATGGGTTTGCTTTAGTATCATTGGGATGAAATGGGTTGAAAAGAGAACTTGGAATAATGAGGGCTGTCTTGGGCTAAAGCATGACAATAACAGAGGCACACACTCCACTGTATTAAAATAGCACTTGGTTCCGATCTCGGTCACTAGGTGTCGCTAAGTAATCTAATTAAATACCTGGTTTATGACCAACAAATTTGAGTAGACATTGAGCTGAGTGAGGCAGAAATAAAAATTAAGGACATGTGGCCTACATAAAATCCCGTTATCCACAACAGCTATTTTAGAACAGCAGGATTAGTACCTGGAATATGAATTGGAAAGTTCATGAATTAAAAAGAACCTACGAAAGTGCTTAGCCTTTATTGGGGAAAATGAATAAATCCTTTCTATTTTATGTGCCCTTCCTTTTCTTCCTCTCCTATTAAATTGGACATCCTGCTGCCTGCATTTTCATGAGCATAACTGGATTTTATGTGGTCTAAATGTACTGGCTGGGCTGTTTGCATCTAATCCTTCCTCAGTTCATATATTTTCTTGTTAAACTTTTTTTAGAGCCTGTTTTAACCTGAACTACCTGAAAAGCAAGCTGGATGAACATAATGCCTATTCTTAGTGGAATATCTTTGAGTGAACTCCTACTCCTATGCATCCTTCAAGGCAGATCAAATGTTTTCTAGTCTGTCAAACGTGACCGCAGGCAGTTCTTTTTGCCTTGTTCCCAGAACACAGCTGCATCTTCTTCCATGTGCCATTTTTTTTGCCTTACATGGTAATTAATGGTTCATGTATCTGTCTTCGCCACATACTGTGAGCTCCCTAAGGACAGGGACAAGTTGAGGAAAGTGACTGCTCAACATTTGCTACTGTTGCTACTTATAGCTCTTCTAGTGGTGTAGCCTATAGTAAATTCAGCACACAATTACCAGTTTCCCTAAGCATTTCAGTAGAATCTTCTCATGTCATTTCAGCAGGAGTTAAACTGGTTGTGTGTGTTTTGTGGTTTATAATATTGTGTGCTTAGAAAGCAAAATTAAGGGCTCACTAAATTGATGTGGAAAGAGATTTTATGTTGTGTGTGTGTATGTGTTTGGATGGGGTCTTCAAATGTTTGTTAAAGGAGTTGTTTATTCATCCATTGCCAATCCTTTTAAAAACAGTTACACAGCAGAGAAGGGGGATTGTATTTAGAGGAGACGCTAAATCAACACCTAAATTAAGGGTAAGCTTTTAGGCAAATTACTGTGTTTTTCTTTCCTGAGAGAAATAACTGGAGATTAGGAAACATCTTTTCTTAAAGAGTTTAATGTACTTCCAAATTCAAACAAATATTTAAAATGTTACAGTAATTTCATCTAAATCTTCTGTGTGTGTCCATAATTTTCTAAAATAAGTGGTAAATCACTTTAGGAAACCTATAACAGAGTGAAAATCAGCACACATTATTCGGGTTTACTGTGTGCGTGATGCTTTGTTGAAGGAGGGAGGAGATAGAAACATGTCTGTCCCGCAAGAAGTTCACAATTGGTGTGGCCACGGATAAAACATGTAAATACAATTTGCTACTAGCCAGGAACCAAAAAGAAGACTTGAGTTCCACAAAGGACGATGAGATTTACAAGGAGTTTTCCCAGAGGCATGACGTTTGAACTAGCATTTTACCATCTTTGCAGACAGGAATCTTCATAGTTTCTACTTACTTTATGGTTTAGCTAAATTGAAGCACTAAAGGATTCACGCAATGTTTACCTAGAGTTTAAAAAACCTTGATTTTAACATTTTTATTAACGGATTGGGTGTATGTTTTAATCTAAATGATAAAGCTATTAGAGTAAATCAAGATGACTATTTTCTCTCATATTGACCTGTCCCTAACCTAAGCGGGTTTCAAACTTTGGCATACTTTGAAATTATCAATACACTTGTTAAAATACAGATTCCTCGCCAAACTTAAAGAATCTCAACCTCCTGGGATGGAGAGGCAATGTGCTTTTAAAAAGGGTTCCATGTGAATCTGGTTTAAAACCATTAAGCAATTGGATAAATCAGAGGTAAAATTTGGCCTCTATATATGCTATAGATTATGGATATGCTATAAGTTAGTAACACTATCTTCTGATCTACTAATGAATATTCCCCTTGAGGGGAGATAAGGAAAAGTTATTAAGCACTCTACTGTAATAGGTAATAAGTAATAAGTCGGCTGACCCCCTGCTCATAGCCAGCTTCCCTCAACCCCAGAAAGATCAATTTTTAAAACATGTTTCCTGCAAGACAACTATTTAAGTTATTTCCATTAAAATAAAAAGACATGGTGATTTTCTCACATGTCTGCTTTGAACTGGCTGCTGACAACTCAATTTCCGGGGAAGAAGGGAAGAGCTGGCTCTCTGGTACTGATAATCTCTTTCACCTTCATCCAGCACTCAGCTTCTTCCGGCATTCCTGTATCAGAAAGCAAACACGGGCAACTCTAAACCTTAACACTCACATGCCTCTTAGTTGGTGTCACTGAGTTCCCTTGAGCAGGCATTTGGAGGTGAGACAGCTCTTAAAAGTAATCAAATTGCATAAACCACTCCTTTTGCAAATGGACAGTGGGAATTTAGCCAAGCACAGAGGAGAAAACTTCTGACAAATGTGATCCTATAGCAGGGCTACTTAACTTATGCTTGAGGACAATGTTCGGTATGACCAAGATAAAGCTTGGTAGGACTAATTCCTGCTGACCAAAGAATTAAGAGAGCACCAGGACCTGAGATGAGTCAGTCTAATTCAATCCTGACATGATCCCAGAAACTAATGTCACAACATTTCTGATCCTTAGCTAATAGGGGCATTGTTAACAACATCAGCTGCTCTGTTGTGGTTGTTACTGACTGGCACAAAGTGGATGGATTCGTTTTCCTTTGCTGGGCACCTCAAAACATAACTACTAGTTGCAGAACATTGTTAAGAAAATACTTGTAAGATAGTTTTACAAGTGGATTTGCATATAGTATTTGTTACCAAAAAGCGATGGTACTGTAAATTTTGTTTTTTCAAATTTATATTGGCAATTGTAGTCTCTGAGAACACTTAAATAAATGAAAGCAGGACTTTTACCATTATGCTTTCAAGATTGAGAACCCTGAGTTCAAAAGCTGATACTCTAAAAACACCTAGATTGAATGAACACTTTTCAAAAACCAATAGGAGTAATAAATACAACCTTAAAATTTATCAACTGACTTTTCTTCGAATGAAATTGTTGTTAGAAAAATATAAGCATTTGTATAATTAAAAAAATAAAAATCCATCATGAACCTGTAATCGAACATTTTGGCCCTTGTATTTGCTTATTTTAAAATGGGTCCATTTTTGCATGTTTGTGTATATACTTCCAGTAATGACAATTTAGTGTGTCTATACAGTCCAGAAATGACAATTTAGTGTCTATCTTACCAGAATTACAAAGCAATTCTGAAACAAAGGTCATGAGAGAGTCCCATTACCTTCTCCAAAGGGTGCCAGGACAACTTTTCTATTATATTTTCTCCCAGAAACCTTTACTGTTCCTTGTTTATAATAACCATTATTTTTCTGAAAAAGACAGTATACAGCCCAAGCGTTAACATTAGTTTTGTAACTCTATTTTTATGAAAGCTATTTCAGCAGCTAGAGAAACTGACTTAGCTGGCCCCCAAACAGCCTTCTCTCAACATGCCATGCAGACAAGATAAACCAGCTGATGGTGTAACAGCAGAAATCTCCCTACACGGGCAGTTTAGGAGCTGGCAGAGGTGGTGGGAATTTTTCTGGGCAGTGTTCTGGACGGCCTGTCCTGTCTGGTCTGTCTTTATCCCATTGTTCCCTAAAGCTCATCCTCCATGGTAATGCCTCAGACTGTGATGGGCTGTTCACTCCACAGCATGAATTCTGACCATTAACTTAGTGATAGGACCCAGAGGAAAGGCTGTCCTCCCCACATCTGTTCTTTGGGAATGTCCTTTCACAGGAACAAACTGTGCCCTAACCTTGGTGATTAATTTTTATAATAGGAGCTCAGTAGGGTTAGATTGTGTTGATACATGTAAAAGTACATAGAAAGTTAAGAACGTTCTCTGAATAAAATAGTACCACCACTCCATTACTCTCTCTCCCTCTCTCTTTCACATACACACATACACCCTCCACAATGTTTTACGGGAAGATATAGCTGTAGAAGGAAGCCTTTTCCTCTCTAACCTTGTTCTTTTCTTGGCATTTGTCCATGAAAAGTGGGTCTACTTTTGCAAGTGTGTGTGCATATTTGTAATGAGGTAATGGTCTTAATTTATTCAGAGAACTCCCTTAATTTTCTACTCACCTTTAGATTACAGAGAAAGAAAATTTTGCCAATTCTTTTGATCTCTCATAAATGTATTATGGAGTGAGTCTTAACCTCTCCATCTTCTGCTTTCTCCTCCCCATAGGAGCAGATGTGGTTAATCTGATTGCTCCCTGGAACTCATCAGGCATCCACTTCTTCCTTACTAATGCACTGTGACCCCATATGATGTTATTCAGGCCACTACTGTGTCTAGATAAGACTCCACATCCCAATCTACCTTGCAGCTGGAAGTGGCCAATGAGATGCTAGCAGAAGTTGGTAGGTGGGGTTCCCAGTGTAACTTCAGTTCAGCTGGGATGTGTGTCCTTCCTCTGGCTCCTTCTATTTTCCTATTGCCCTGGGACAGGGTGCCATGTCTAGAGCTCTAGTGGCCATCTTTCAACCTTGAAGTGACCTTGAAAACAAAAGCTACAGGCCAAGTAGGTAGAGTGGAAAACAGAAAGATTCTCATTCCCTGATGATTGTGGAGAACATTATACTTCCTGGCTCATCTATCTCCAAATTTATTTTGGGAGAAGGAAAGACTGTTTTTAAGACAGTTTTTTTTTGTTCAATCCAGCTGAAGGTAGTCTGTTATAAACTATATAAAAGTCATGTATTCTAGAATAGCTCCACGCTGCCTCTTTCCCCCTTCTCTCTACTCTCACCCTTGGCTGCTGGTTTTTGCTTGCCTTGTAGCTTCTCATCTTCAACTGTTAAACCCAGTGCTTGGTCTGCTTGTCGCATGAAGGTTGGAAGCCTTCCACCATTGATGTCCACCATCACTGAACACAGGCATCCAGCGTTTGTCAAACCTAGCCCCCATTTGCTTCCCGGTACCCTAGATAGCAGCAGAATCCAGTCTGCTGATTTGAGGCAAATTAACCAATCAGATTATTATTCCCATTTCCGTAAAGAAGAGCAAGTAAAGAGGAATTGAGATGGTGGATCTTTCCTTTTTGGTGTTTCTGAGAGTCATGATGGAGATTCCTTCTTCTATGAGATAAGAGGAAAATGTGGGAAGAGAAAGTTTCCCTAAAGATACAAATCATTCATTGCTTATGTTTAGATTTCCATATCAGTCTTTGCCTCTCTTTCATTTCCACTTCTATAGCTGTGTTGAAGGGAGTGAAAGACTGGAGTGGAGAGATGGGTCACTAGATCCCAGCCCTTTCAGTGCAACATGCAATTCAGCTTTACCTCTCCTCTGGCTGGTGGTTCTGAGAGACACCAGGGGGTGCAGGAAGCAGGTGTGTGCTTCTCCACTGTACAAAGGTGCACGCACCCTCTCTCCTGTGCACCTGCCCAGCAACAAGGGATGGGGTTGGGACAAAGAATGTGGGGAGAGTAGACAGTGGCTTTGTCTCCCTGCTTTGGCTTCTACACTGTGTGGATCTTAAATTTGTTTGTGTAAATTACAAGTGAGGTGCAGGGAGATTATTGTGTTAGAAATGCACTTGTTTACAGTGGGTTAACGGTAGGCAGTCACCATTTGCAATGGCTGTTTGGAACTGAGGATTCACTGCACTTCCTACATTGCCCTTTCTTTCCATAGAAGGTTAAACTAACAACATTCGCCATCAAGAAAAGAGGAGTAGTTACCCTTTCCACATTCCAGAATCTTATTCTTTCTACTTCCTTGAAAGAAATCTGAAGGAAGAGAATCAAGATCTTTTGATTACACAAAAAGGGATGTGAACAGCCCCTCTTAAGGACCATCCTTCTTCCAGGTGCGATGAAGAATGCCCTAGGTTATTTTCTAAAAGGATCATCAGAGTTGACAATTTTGTGGACTGTCTGTTTTGAAAACTGAACTTAATATTCAGGACACCATGACAACTAGAGGAATCACCTACGGTTTGAATCTCAAAACTATGTGTCTCCCAAGCTTTGCCCCCATGGATGACCCACTCAGAGCCACAGTACATCAAATGGGCCACTCACTTGCTGTGAGAAACGAACAGCAGTGCATATGTCTAAGACTCAACTGCCACATGGTGACTCTATTTAAAGTTACTCAGTGTTCAGTGTTGCCAGTTTCATAATAACAACACCTAGTATTTGTATATAACCTTTGGCTGAAAAACACAGATGTTTAAAAAATATACTCAGGTCTTATCACAAATGTAGGTGGCAAGTGTGGTTCTTTTCTTCCTCCAGTTGAGGAAAATTAAGTAACAGGAATGAATGACTTGTGTAGGCTCACTAAAGCATTTGTAAAACCTTGGCTTTTATTTGCCTTCGGTTTAGTTTAATATAATTTGTTAAATGGGGTACTGATTTTTTTCTCATGCTTTTTTGAGATCTAATTCACAATTCACCTTTCTAAAGCACACACCATGATTTTTAATATATTCACAGTTGGCCAGGCACGGTGGCTCATGCCTGTAATCCCAGCACTTTGGGAGGCTGAGGCGGGTGGATCACGAGGTCAGGAGATCGAGACCATCGTGGCTAACGCTGTGAAACCCCGTCTCTGCTAAAAATACAGAAAAAAATTAGCCGGGTGTGGTGGCGGGCGCCTGTAGTCCCAGCTACTCGGGAGGCTGAGGCAGAAGAATGGTGTGAACCCAGGAGGCAGAGCTTGCAGTGAGCTGAGACTGCACCACTGCACTCCAGCCTAGGTGACAGAGCGAGACTCCATCTCAAAAAAAAAAAAAAAAGATATATATATATATATATATATATATATATATATATATATATATATGCATATTCACAGTTGTAAGACCATATTCACTAATTTCAGAACATTTTAATCACCTCAAAAAGAAATCACATACACATTAGCAACCAGTCCCTATCCCCTTCCTTCCCCAGCCCCTGGTAACCATTAATCTACTTTCTATCTCTCTGGATTTGCCTTTTCTGGACATTTCATGTAAAATTGAATCATACAATATGTGGCCTTTTATGACTAGCTTTTTTCATTTAGCATAATGTTTTTTAAGGTGAGTACTTCATTCCCTTTTATGGATAAATACTATTCCATTGTATGGATATACTAAGTTTTGTTTATCTACTCATCAATGATAGACATTTGAGTTGTTTTTACTTTGGGGCTGTTATGTGTAATGCTTCTATGGACATGCTTGTACAAGGTTTTGTGTGGAAATCTGTTTTCAATGACCTTGGGTTTATGCCTAGGAGTAGAATTGAGTTATACGGTAACTCCATGTTTAACCTTTGAAGAATTGCCAACCTGTGCTACAAAGAGGCTGCCCAATTTTACATTCCCACCAGCAGTGTAGGAGGGGTCCAGTTTCTCCACATCCCTGTCGGCATTTGTTATTTTCTATCATTGTGGCTAGCTATCCTAATCAGTGTGGTAGCTAATGATTTTTATTTGTTTGATTTTTTTATTTAAAAATTATATTTCAATGGCTTTAGGGGTACAAGAGGTTTTGGTTACGTGAATGAATTATACAGTGGTGAAGTATAGGATTTTATTGCACCTTTTACCCAAGTAGTGTATGTTGTACCCAATAGGTAGTTTTTCACTAATGATTTTTAAACAATAATTTAAAGAAATAGAAAGCTAGAGACCTTAGGTCACTGTTTTGTTGTTGTTGTTGTTGTTGTTGTTGTTGTGAGGTGTAGTCTTGCTCTTGTTGCCCTGGCTGGAGTGCAACGGTGTGGTCTTGGCTCACTGCGACCTTCACTCCCAGGTTCAAGCAATTCTCCTGCCTCAGCCTCCCAAGTAGCTGGGATTACAGGTGCGTACCACCACACCCGGCTAATTTTTGTATTTTCAGAAGAGACAGGGTTTCACCATGTTGGCCAGGCTGGTCTTGAACTCCTGACCTCAGGTGATCCGCCCACCTCACCCTCCCTAAGTACTGGGATTACGGGCGTGAGCCACCACACCCGGCCAACCTTGGGACACTTGCTAAGCTGGGAGAATAGACTATGTGGCCTATGCAAAGGGAACCCTTTTCCTTACCAGGCTTCTCCCCATTTTCAATGCCCCTCTCCTTATCAGTGACCAGCTTCCTGGGGTCTGCACTTAATGGGAGACAGAGAAAGCTGCTTGAGGCTTCACCTCCTCCCTCCATTCCCAGAGTCCCACATTCAGCTTACAGGGAGGCTTTTCCAATTTGCAATTCCAACTCTCTCCAGAAACTCTCCTACCATTGACACCTGGCTCAGTGCATTCACTATTGTCACCATCTTCAGCTGTTCTGGAATACTCTTTATACCATTTGATGTCTTCCTCATATGAATAGAGATATCCAATACTGAATATGCCCATAGCACTTATTATACCTGGTTACACTTAATCTTCATAGCAACTCTGTGATTCATGTTGCTATTGTCCGAGAAATTTTAGAGATGAGGAAATTAAAGATAAAGGGTGCAAGGTCAATTTCCTTGGCCACACAGCTGTCAATGGTAAAGTAGAAATGACTGGGCAGGGCTGTAATGTCAGCTTCATCTGTCCTGATATTTATTTCTCCTTGGTCTCTTCTCAGGCTTTGAAAGTCTGGAGAACTCTCTTACACTAAGAAATCCTGAAAAGTGATTTCTTCATCCTCCCTCCCCTAATGACATGATAATCCTGGAGGGAGTTGTACAGCTAAGTAGGCCTGGGATGACTTGGTTTTATTTAATTATAATTTTAATTATTCCATTAGGCCATTTGTGTCTCTGGAGTCAATTTTCCTTCTCAGATATTTTCTGAGAACTAGAAAATAAGTTTATAATTTTTTTTCTTGGTTTTAATTGCAGTCTTATTAACTGGATCAGTTTAGGTTTGGAGTAATTTCTTGGTGTGGTGAATAAGAATAATCAAGGTTAACCCCATACACACAATGTAATAATCATGTTTTTTGGCTGTGAAACAGAATCTAGCATGGTCATTTCATACCAGGTGAAGGATGGCTCTCATGAAAGTGTGGTGAAATAAAACAGTATTTCACCACACTTTCTATGAGTTTGCTGGTGTGAAAAATGCATTATTAGAACACATGGCAACAATGCTAGAGTGGACTCTGGATTTTTTAATGCCAGACTTTCATTAAGCGGGAGAAAAGAATACAAATTTTGACATTTCACTTGGAATGGAAGCAGGTGAGCCTCTAGGTTTGTTTTTTGTTTGTTTGTTTTTAACTTTTATTTTAGGTTCAAGGGTAAATGTGCAGGTTTGTTATATGGGTAAACTTGTGTCGTGGGGGCTTGTTATACAGATTATTTTTTCACCCAGGTACTAAGCCTGGTGCCCAATAGTTATTCTTTCTGATCCTCTCCCTCTCCCATCCCTCATTCTCAAGTAGGCCCCAATGTTTGTTGTTCCTCTCTTTATGCCACTTGTTGATGAACCTCTATTATTTTTAAGGGTCTAGTTAAATTGAAATAGTAACTTTTTAAAAATATTCACCATTGAGACATGTGTTTTCTAGTAGCAAAAACACCATAATACAAAATTCAGGGCCCTAAATGCTTTTTCCCCCCACTACCTATCACAATCTCTCAACCCATTTAAGAGCAAAAAAGAGGAACTTCATATCTGGAAAAATACAGGCATTATTATTTGGTATGGGCTTTGACCATATATTTTATTTTCATGACAAGTTAGGCCTACTTTTCTTTCTCATGTTTTAATCCTTCCTACTTACAAAGCTAGAAGTTGGCATCTTAAAGATAGGATAGGATGAGGGTAAAGATATTTCTTACATTTCTGGAAGGAGGTGTGTGTGTGTGTGTGTGTGTGTGTGTGTGTGTGTGTGTGTGTAAATCTTCAGGGGAAGACTAAAGAATAACTGTAGGGAATAGTGGCAAATTAATTTAAACTAACATACTGTAATAAAGCCAACCCCTGAGATCTGTTCTTCTGGATGTTGTCATAAATAACACTCTATTCATTATATGGGCAAACATGAATTCAAACTAAATCCATTGAATTTTGTTAAAAAGTCATTTAACTCAGGGTTTAACTCAGGTTCGTTCTATTTCTTTTTAAATTTTATTTTATTTTCAGTTAACCAAATAATTGCATATATTTATGTGGTACAATGTGATGTTTTGATATGTTTATCATGAGGAACGAATAAATCATTTCTTTTAAAAAATGCTTTCTTTTAACTCTAGTTCATAGCAGTATTCAGAGGAAAGAGTGTTCCTGAGTTGCAAGGATCTTTACTGGAGATTTTTTTCTTCTGACCCTGGTTCTTTGACATGAGTAAGACATAACTGATACTGGGGTGATTCCTGTAACTGGCATAGTTCTAAAATGAAGTGGACACAAACTGTTTTCCATTTAAATATTTTAAACTGGCATATATATATCAATAATGGAAACATCTGGGTACATGCTGAACCTTGAATCTTTGTTGTATTTGTTATTTAAAATACACAGATACCCCACCAGTCAGGGTCTGTGCTGTTCCTTGGGCCTCTTTGCTTTTCCAGCTCAGACCTGGCTTTATATGGTCTGTTTCAAGCTCTTCCAGCCTCCATCTTATCAATACTTCAGAAACCTCTAAGGCAGATAGAGGTAGAGTCAGAAGACCTGGATTTGAATATTCCATCATTTGCTTATTTTGTGACTCTGGGTAAATTATTTGACTTCTCTGAGGTAACTTCTTCATCTACAAAAGTAAGAAAATGCTTAATAATTATTTTTAGTATTAGGCCTTTAATTTTCCATGCAAAGCTCTACTCTCATAATTCATTTTGAATCAATGATGGCTTGAAAAATATCCTAGTCATTTCCCTCTGGTAATTTCCCTCATGCCCCACTTCTACGTTTACCATTGATATCAATATTTGTCAGCATTTAAACAAATTATAATGATCTTCCCCCCAAAGGGATTTTACTATTTTTGTTGTTCAACATTGACATTTTCCCACTTCACATCATTTTTGGAAATGGGTAAATAATGAATAAAATGAGTATTGATATACCTTGCAAGATAAATTGTCTCACCGGAATCAGATCACTTCGTTTCACAGCAGTATTGGAATACTTAATCGAATTTCTCAGTGGAGCCACAGGCATGACTTCATGGGCAAGGCTGCTACAGGAGATCAAGTAGAGGTGGAAGAAGAGTAAAGGAAAGGTGAGAGAGGGTCTGATAGCTACCTGCTGCCCAGGTAAGAATGAGGATAAACAAATGGTTAAGCATCATATGAAAGGCATGGAGTTCTTGGAGGTGTGGGGACCCACAGAGCCAATCAGATGGGCTCCCTGAGGCTACCTGACCAGAACTGTGTGCACCTGATAAGCAGGATGGCTACGTAGGGGCTCGGAGAGGAGAGGAAGGCAATGAAGCTGCCTGCTGGCACAGGATGCCTTCGCCAGCAAGACCAGGAAAGGACAGTGTTCAGGACCCAGCTCAAGCCAGCAGTGGAATATCTGTAGTGAGGAATGGAAGCTCACTGCCCCAACAAAAGTGATGCTGCCACTCAACTCAACCCAGATATTGAATTGTTTCAGTTGTCCAAAGTAACAGTATTCTTTGTGGGCCACTGTGACATGGTAAAACATTTTGTTCCTAGCAGATGGTATAAACTTAGTGAATGTTTGCTGAATTTACTCATTCACTTATTCATTCAAAAATACCTATGAAACTTCTATTTTAGGCCCGACACTATTTTAGAGTATAGAAATATAGTCATGAACTAGATAGGCAAGTCCTTGAAGTCATGGGTTTCTATTCTAGAAGGGGAGTCAGATACCTAAATAAACAAGCAGAATAATATTAGGTAGTGACAAGTGCTTATCATTAGACTTATCTAGAATGATGTTTTAAATACAGTGGTCAGGGGAGTGGTATTTGAGGCCTGAATCATAAAAATTAGCCACCTACCCTAGGATCCATACAAAGAGAACCTCAAGTGGATTCAATAACATGTAATGCTTGCTGATTTGTTCTATCCCTTAAGTAAATCTTATTCTAATATACTTCATTCAAAATAGTTGTTGAACATGTTCCATATTCCAAGTAATGTGTTAGGTGCTAGGGATATAAAAGCAAAGCCATAGCCCCTGCCTTCAAGGAACTGATATTCCAATATGGAGATCCAGAGGTGTGAACAATTACAATAAAAAGTGAGAACTGCCCTGATGATGGAGGCATGGTCAGTGGGAGATTTCTTGAAGAAGTACCTTTATTGTAATGAAGATAGCAAGACTATCTGTGTGTTGGGAAAAAAAATGTCCAGGGGTGTCTCATGTTTCTGCAAGCCTTGTCAACAAAGAGACTTTTATTTGGGACTGCCTTCCAAGAATATTTGTATGGTGAACTTCTTGGAGGTTAGAGGTAGCGTGCCTCTCTCAAGCAGAGAGATTTGTTTCTTAACTAGGATACTAAAAAAAAGGTTTCCTTCTAAGGAAAAAGTTGGGCAGGTTTCCTTATAGCCTCTTTAAAAGCTTGTAGTTTCCTAAGCTCGGGGTTTTTCACCTTTGGTGCAAACCGACTGCGTTTGCAGCATCTACCTTGGCCACCCCCTAATGCCCCATAGGATTTGGAGGACAAGAAGAACCTACATGAATATTGGAGCTGATGCTGCTTGCTGTGCCATGAGTGATAAAGTCCTCTGTGTCTGACTCAGGAATCTGTGTCTTCTGCAAGAATCCATGCAATTGTGGCGGCTCCCTTGTTAGCTTGGAAGCAGACAAAACTTCACACCCTTAATCATTCTTAACATGGTGACAATATTAAAATTATTTCAGGTTTATGAGCTTTATTTTTCTCAGTGGAAAACTTGGGATAAAAATTCTAACTTCACAAACTCATTGTAAGAGACAAATGGAAGGTCATAGGTGTAGCAGAGATGGTTAGCTATTCCCTAATATATGTTCTCTCTCTCTCTCCTCTAACATAGAAATTGTAGTGTGACAAAGGCTACCAGACTGACTAAAACATCTCCTAGCCTCGTTTGCAGCTAGCTGTGATCAAGCAATAAAGCTCTGTCAATGGGGTGTGAGCAGAAACACAACTTGCAGATGATGCTCTTGCAAGGAAGGAAAATTCTCTCCCCTTCACCTTCCCTCCTTCCCATTGCCTGGAATACAGACACAGTGGTAAGACATCTTGGAACATTTGGATGGGAAACACCCTACACATGGCAGAGCACTAAAACAAAAGGAACCTGGAGCCTCTGTCCTCTTGCTGTCACCATTCAAGTCCTGGACTGCAAATATACAGACTGTCACATCAGAAAAAACTTCCCGTCTTGTTAGAGCCACTCCTATTTGGCATGTTTATTGAAGAAATGAACTGGTATTCTAATGAATGGAGGAATGAGAAGATCCGAGTGAGGGATTAGAAAGATGCTATTGGTGATGGTAGAGAAAAGAAAATAGAGCCAGATAAATTAGGAGGGAGATCACCTAGCTGCCAAGTAATGGGTTATTTTTCAGAGGTTTTGAATGTTGGCAAATCTTTAAGTCTTACCTGGTCTGTGGACTCTTACAAGAAGTTTGAATTCCATAGTCAAATTAGGAACACACTGACTTAAACATAATTCTTTATTATAGGTAGTACAAGTGTTTTCAGCACTAAAAGATTTTATGCCTCTTAAAAGAGAGGGCTGAAAATAAAGTATTCCTCATACTTATCTGAAAATGAGACCTTTCATCTAAAACTAGTGTTCATGGCCACTAGAGGACACATGATCCAATGCCTATGGGATTTAAAGACGTCTCCCAGCCCTCTTAGAAATTTGTAACCTGCAGTAACACCCAAATAGTCAACAAAGCAATTCACAAAGGTATTTGTCAGATAGGATGAAATAGACATGTGTGCATGACACATACACACCCTTTTCCAAACCAGAGCCAAAAGTTGCAGATACACCAGAAACCATGCGGTATCAATTTTCCCCTCTAAAGAGTTCAGCTTTGTTTTTGTTCCAAGGTGTGAATGAATAGCACAAGGACTGAAAAGGATAACAGTTCCTACCTTGATTCCACTTGAAGATCTTCATGAAGAAAGTCCTTGCTGGAACCTGAGCAGACTGAATACTAATTTCTCTTAGCAAGACATTACACTGCATGGTGGATGGCCTTCTTGCTCAGGAAGTTCATGACAATCCAAGAGGCAAAATGAAAGGAGGCAGAACAGAGCATGTAAAGTCAGAATCTTGTGACTTTGGCCCTGAGAGTGTTTGATCTGGCAGGAACTATTTTCCATGAGTAACCGAGTCCTGTATAGCACTTATGGGATCAAATGGCAGTATAAATTGGATCAACAGTTAATGTCTTAATTCTCTCCATGACCAATGTGAGGAAAAGTAATTCTATTTAAATCCTTCATAGAAAAATACTTCATGCAGAATCCTGGGGGGAAAAGAATTAAAAATTGTGATCTCATGTCAAATATTCCTGCAGTTTTCTCAACAGTACAGTTAATCCTTTGGGCTGGCAAAAGCAGGTTTTCTTTCATTATTTTGGTCTGTATTGGCAACGAAGTTATTAGGTGCAAAAGAAACACACACAGAGATGTCACACCACACTTGACACTGTCACTGTGGTGACAAGGTTTTCTCCAGCTGTCAGTGTCAGAAGGATTTCATTCTGTTTGATGCCACACGGTTTTGTGGTGAGAAGTGGCAGGCAAGCCCTTTTATTCCTTGTAATGTCTTCATTAATAATAGCAGTCATCAATTACCAGAGAAAAGGAGTACAAAATAAATTGTAAACATTATAACCTGGGGTCTTTATGGAGGATCTTTTATATTGTTTCATGGAATTGGAGGTGAATTCAGCAATAGGATTTTTGAACTCTGGAAAGATAGGGGGAAGCTTCCATTTCTTATATGCATGTTGGTCACATAAGACATCAGTCTGTGTGCACAGTTTCCTCATTTTCTTCAATGGTCTGGGTCATTACTTACCCAACAATCTGAAAAAAAAGTACAAATTATGTGTCTAAGTCTATACAATGAGAAGGTGACTTCTTTTTAAGAGCCATGAGAACTTCTCAGAATAAGAATCTCTTTTACAAACCAGTGGAAATCTATCAATCTTAGTTTGGGGGATACCAGGTAAGGTTTCTTCTTTGTAGGGTTTCTGGAGCTTTTAATGAGATGATGCATTCTGTGAAGCTTTAAGGGAAAAAGAAAATATACAGTTTCCTGAGTTTGTTTCATCACAGAAACATTTGTTATGGGCCTAGATAGTTCCATGAAACCTCTATTTTGGAAAGGCTAAAGGAATTAGTTAATCCATTAGCTTTTATATCTAATAAGCACATACTGTGCCTACAAAGAAACAAAAGTTTTCAAGAAACGCCCTCTTAACCTGGCAGTCGGACCAAAGTCCACATTCTTGGTGAGGAAGTTAGGCCTAACAATGTTTTAGCAGAGATATAATTTGATCCTTGGGACTATTTAAGAATACAGCAGTAAAAGTTGCTTACTTTGAGCTGTGGCAGAGATGGGCTGCAGGATTTGTGCAATTCTCATCTCACTGGTTGGAATTCTCTTCTCTCCTATTTGAGAAAATACAGTGTGAAAAAGTCACGTTCCTGCAAGGGTAGAACTCACAGTCTCTAAAATATGACCTAGTGATTCAAAAAGATTGGTACTTTGCTGTTTGACAACATTTTTCAGTGAACCATCACACTTTAAAATAGCCCTGTATAGAGCCCTGACTCCAAGGATCCTGAAAGTATCCCAGAGAGGCTTTTACCATTGGTGGGTGTGTGTGTGCAGGCGTGCATGTGCAAATTCACCCACATGTACAGGCTCTGGATTAGAGGCCGGGAGGAGAATCCAGAGAAGGAAAAACAGACCACACCTCCCCGAAGTCTTCAAAGCTGGTAAGAATTCCCAAGACAGCAGTTCTTTTGAAGCTCCCCACATGCCGTTTTATGGGTTTTTGGTTTTCAAATTAACATAGACTATGAACACCAGGATTTAGCCTCATGGATTTTTGCCCTATGCTATAGAGAAGTCTTCACTTGGCATCTTGGTTTACTGCCTGTGGGAAAATATGACAGGCAATTATAATGTCCTTTTAGTTATAAGCTGAAGTAGGAGTAATATTTTAAAAATATATAAAGCAAATATAGAGGCAGCTTAGCATAGCAGTTAAGAATAGAGATTCTAGAACCATTTTGCCTGAGTTTGAACCCAAATTCTGTGCCCTTGGGCAAATCATTTAAATGTGCTATGCCTCAGCTTCCTTGTCAGTAAAATGGGTCTGATTACAGAACCCCCCGCAGACTGTCATAGGGTTACGTGAGTTCATATCTGGAAAGCTCTTAGAATAGTGCCTGATACTTAATAAATGTTTATTACATTTTAAAATATTTTTAAATATGGTTTTCAGCCAGGCACGGTGGCTCATGCCTGTTATCCCAGCACTTTGGGAGGCCAAGGTGGGTGGATCACCTGAGGTCAGGAGTTCAAGACAAGCCTGGCCAACATGGCAAAACCCCATCTCAACCAAAAATACAAAAATTAGCTGGGTGTTGTGGTGCACACCTGTAGTCCCAGCTAGTCAAGAGGCTGAGGCAGGAAAATCTCTTGAACCCGGGAGATGGAGGTTGCAATGAGCCAAGACCGCACCACTGCACTCCAGGCTGGGTGACAGAGTGAGACTCCGTCTGAAAAAATAAATATGGTTTTCATTTTCTCTCTTGTATTTCATAACACTCAGAAGTTATTCCACTGGACACTCCAGGGAAAGCTGGCAAGTCACTGCCACCCGGGAAAAGCAGTAGCTATGGGGCTAGGAAAGTGTTGGCCACAGTGGAAGAAGAAGCAGGCCCATGGTGGACTTCAGGAGAACTAGGAGGAAGCTGGCATGGATGGGTGTTACAGATGGACCCTCCTTTCAATAGGAGAATTCCTGGAAGGGTGGTAGAGGTGGCTGGTTACAAGCAAAGCAGAGAGCGGAGTAGGTTCCTTATTTCCAGTTGGGGACTGTGGGAAGAGTCTCACAGATGCCCCTCTTTCCCTCACATCAACATTGATGGGCTCCATCAGAGTAACCTTTGCAGCAGTTGCATGCTTAGGCCAAAGGAGGCCTATATTTAGTTCTCCCAATTCTTCCTCCACTCTCTTGGGTATCCTGACATTCTGGGCCCCTGTGGAGGACATGCAGAGGTTAGATAACAGCGCTAGGGGAAGTTTACTAGGGATGTTACTGTGGTGAGATTAAACAGGCAGACCCTGTGGCTGAGGGCTACAGGCCAGATTACCTGAGCCTGGATTCGGTAGGTACAGCCATAGCCACAGATGCCTCTTGAAGAGAGCAGAGGAAAGGGACATTTGAGGATGGAATGTCCAAAAAAAAAAAAAAAAAAGATAGACTGAGTTACATAAAAAGTCTTTCAATTATTTTATGCAACAGAGTTTACAACAGACTGGATTATCAGACACAGAGGGGTAGGTGGTGTGAGGAATATCAGGTAAGCTATAGAAAAACAGAAAAATTACATTTTTTTCTGCTAATCTAAGGTTAGCGTAGTTTACATAATTCCACAACAGAAACATTTATTCAAAAGATGACTATTAATAGCATGCAAAGTTGTACTAGATGCTTGGAGGGATAGAAACTGGAGATAGATAAGGATCTTGCCTTAAGCGTTGTGTAAGAAAAACAAAGCTCAGCACAGGAAGAGCTTGCTGAGCTTAGGTTTGTCATATTGAATTTGAAATGGTTGAACCTCATGTGAAGGTACCCAGGAAAGAATTGGGAATGTAAGGTTGGAGCTCAGAAGGAGAGAAGAGAGATGAAGTTATTTGAGAGGACATCCACTTAGAGGGAACGACTAAAGCTTGCCAAAGAGAGTTGAGAAGAGTAAAAGTTCTATTCATTTATTCAATGAACATGCACCACCCTCTTCTTGGTTCAGGTATAGCAATCAGTGTCAGGAAGGAAGAGTCTGGAAGTGGCCACGGTATTGTCCAAAGAAGGATCTAGAGTGTCAGTTTATTGTGACCTTATGTGGCAGAGACCACTTGGGGTGGCCAATTGCCAAGTTCTCTTTTTCCCAAGCATCTGGCTCAACCACATTTTCCAGTTTTCCTCAGCTTGGAGTGGCCATGTGATGAAATTCTGTCCAGGAGCACAAGGGTGTTTGCGATATGGGCCACTTGCCATATCCATTCCCTTTTATCTTCTACATGAAAGCAAAATTGCTTTTATTTCCACATGATTTCCAGCTTAGTAAAGAAGACACAATGAGGAGGTAGGACTGAATTACTACAAAGTCCTCACCCACCCTGTAAGGACTGGAATGTAAGGACATGAGTGAGAAATAAGCCTTTATTATTAAACCACTAGGATACTAGGATGTAGGCTGTTTGTTTTAGATGCTAGTGTTGTTTTGTTTTGTTTTGTTTTTTGAGACAAGGTCGTTCTCTGTTGTTCAGGCTGGACTGCAGTGGTGTGATCTCGGCTCACTGCAACCTCCGCCTCCTGGGTTCAAGCGATTCTCCTGCCTCAGCCTTCCAAGTAGCTGGGATTACAGGTGCCTGCCACCACGCCCAGCTCATTTTTGTATTTTTAGTAGACACAGGGTTTCACCATGTTGGCCAGGCTGCTTTCGAACTCCTGACCTCAAGTGGTCTGCCCACCCTGGCCTCCCAAAGTGTTGGGATTACAGGCGTGAGCCACGGCGCCCAGCTCAGGTGCTAGTATTACTATTTACCTAATAAATACAAACCAAGATCGATTTAACTCACTAGTTTACACTAAGCAAAACCCAAAGGAGACTGGGATGGCTACCAGAATGACAGCTTATTGATTGAATTTGACAAATGTATCTGTCATTCAGACCAGAAATTCTCATACTGACATGCTCCAAGCCTTCTCTGGTTGTTGTCAGACTGCTCGGGAGCCAAACAATCCAAAGCCACTTTGTGCACTGGCCATGAGCAATCACTGCTCAAGGACTGGAAACACGTAGAATCCATGCACTTATCGTATTCTTGTTCAGTGGGAGATCCAGATGGGAATGAGAGGTTGTCTGAGAAACATGGAAGCAGGATAAGGGGAGTTATATAAAACCAGAGATTAAGGACCAAGAGCCAGGGGACCCTGAATCATCTGTCTCTTGAGATTACTTTCCAATGTGACTAAAAAGATTGGATGCCTGATAACTTAGGTTCCCTATCAGACAATTCCTCAATAGGTCCAGCAACTCCTATTTCCTCCTCTTCATGCTGTCACAGATGCTGCTTTTCTACCTCACCCACATTGGAAGGACATATTCTCTCTCTAGCTGCGTTCATACATGTAATCAGGGAACCACTCTGTCTCCTCCCACTATGTGCTCATTTTATAGTCCTCTATATTGTGGTTGGGGTAGGGCAATTGGAGAGACCTTCCTAAGGCTTCCAAGGAGGGCTGACACCTGGCATCATCTCAGTGCTGGAATCTAGAGAGGAAATAAAGTAGGCACTGGCCTTTCAGAGACTGACAGCTCCACAGGGGACACAGATAAGCCCATGAATACCAGGTTACAATGCAGTGTAAAGGTAACCATAGAACCAGGTACAAAAAAAAAAGCTACAGCACAGAGAAAAGTGTGGTTAATACTTCTTGAGTGATAGGCATAGGAGGAAATGAGGGAAGGCTTCCTGTAGGAGGTGATAATTGAGCTGGAACATTGATGGAGGTGTTCCAGAAAGGGGAAATATCATAGCAAGGGAACAAGGCACACAATGGCTTGGGGTGTCCAGGAAACTAGCAGAAGTTAATTATTTGGTGGGGTGCAGGTGGCTAGTATATGAGGATGAAGTCAGGCAAGCCTGGGGAGGTAGGCAGAGGTCTTTCTCCATGAGGTGCCTTTTACTGAAGCATAGCTGTGTATTAGTTTGCTAGGACTGTTGTAACAAGGCGTACCACAAGCTGAGTGGCTTAAACAACGGCATTTGTAGTCCCACAGTTCTAGAGGCTAAAAGTCCAAGGTCAAGGTGTTAGCAGGGTTGGTTCCTTCTGAGGCTGTGAGAGGAGACTCTGTCCAATGCCTTTCCTTAGCTTTGGTGGTTTGCTGGCAACCTTTGGCATTCCTTGATTTGTGGAAGCATCGTCCCAGTCTCTACCTTAATCTTCATCTTCTATTCTCCCTGTGCGCATGTCTGTGTCCGGATTTTCCCCTTTTCATGAGGACATCAGCCGTATTGGATTACAGCCCTGACTAATGATCTTACTTTAACTTGATGACCCCTATAAAGACCCTATCTCCAGATAAGGTCACATTCTGAGGTACCACATGTTGGGACTCCAACAGAGACATTTTGTTAAGATGCAACTCAATCCGTAATGATCAGCATTTAAAGGAAAGCTAAAGAAAGAACAAAAGAAGGTTCAACCAGAAAAATAGGAAGAGAATGCAGTGTCTGAGAAGAGTGGGACCAGGCGCTGGTCAACAATGCTGATTGCATCTTAAGGCCTAATAATTGGATAAACAAATTCCACCTCTGCCTCTTGCACTTCTTTCTCTGTGCCTCATTTTTCCCTTGTTTGCAAGATAGGGGTAATAAGACTTCCTGTGGGGTGGCTGTGAAGATTAAATGTGATTATGTATATAGACCTTAGCACGTAGTAGGCACGCAAAACACAGTAGCATAAAAACTGGATTGTCACACACCAGTAACATCTTCCATATGCACATGCCAAAAGGGTTCTAGACTGGCATCAATTGCTCCTTAAATATACAACATCATTAAAAGCTGACACCTTGGGAGCCTGCTCCTGCCTCCCACCATGTGTAGAACTTGTGAAATTCCATATTTGCTTCATGTGACCAATAACCTACAGAAATATACAAGTACAAAGCATGTGAATTATGGCTGTGAAACAGGATTTGAAAACATTCCCCTCTTGTACACTTTGGAAATTAAACGTCTGACACCTCATGAATCTTTTTCTCCAGGTTGTTTTGTTTGGGTTTAATGTGGTAACTGATCTGCCCAGGAGAGCAAAATAAAAGCTTGCCTTTCCCTGCACATCTAGCTGGTAGGATATCCAAGAGGCAAGTTCCTACCCCTTCAACCATTCCTACCATAAAAGAAATGTCAAGCTCCTTCCTTCTGCATAGTGACTGATTTTTTCACAGAGGCAGGTAAGGGTAGTTTAGATGCCTTGGAAATGCATTTTCACATTCATGGCACACTCAAGTGAGCACCCACATTGCAGCTCACAGTATTAAACCAACTCAGTGCCTCGGGTCCAGTCTGTATCTTTTAAGCTTTACCAGCTTCCAGGCCCTTTCACTGCTGACATTGTGCTGGTGTGGTGAAGAAACCCTGGGGGTGGACACAGTGAATCATGCCTGTAATCCCAACATTTTGGGACACTAAGGTGGAAGTATCACTTGAGCTCAGGAGTTTGAGACCAGCCTGGACAACATAGCCAGACCTTGTGTCTATAAAAAATTTAAAAAACAAACAAACTGTGTTTTGCACACACCTGTAGTCCCAGCTACTCAGAAGGCTAAGGTGTGAGCATCACCTGAGCCCAGGAGCTCAAGGCTGCAGGGAGCCATGATTACACCACTGCACTCCAGCCTGGGCGACAGAGCGAGACCCTGTATCAAAACAAATTTTTTTCAAGATGCCCTCTTCCCTCAGATAAAATCCATTTCAGTAATATTTCTGAAAGACACTAATATCCTGAAACATGTCCATTGTCTAAACATTTGTGAGATATAGTACCCAATGTCAATTTTTTATTTTTGCTTTCAAAGCAGCTTTACTATATTTTCTGTCAATCCTAATTCTTTCTTTCCTGTAAGATTAGAATCACCCTTTTGCTTTGCTTAACCTCAACTACTCCAAGCTGTAGTTGGAGCTATGTAAGCAGTATGTTTGGAACAAAGGGCAAATTCCCAGGCACTGCCAATCATCCCCAGTTACTCACATCCCTGCTGCTAGCTTTAACATGCTGGAGAAAACCAAGAAGCATGTGGAAAACCCTCTATGCTGGCTTCTTCAGCTGTCAGCTTTTTCTGAATAATGGGACATGCATCAATCAATGTTTGTTTGTTTCTTCCATCTCTTGCTCTTCCTAGCCCCACTCGTCCTTAGGCCCTTCCCCCACTTACCTGGATTCCTGCAATAGCTTCTGAATGGGCTCCCCTTCCTCATGTCAGTATCTTTGTTGACTTAAACTTTCACAACCCGCCTTGACCTTGGGCTTTTGGATTTTCATTGTTCTACCTCCAGAATAAAGTTTAAACATCCTTACATGTCATTCAAAGACCTCAAATATATGCCTAAGCTATACCCCCAAGCTCTTGTTCCTTGAGATCCTTCCATATGCCATTAGCTGTAGCCTGGTGCAGCTGCTTCCTCACAGGCACTGGTACCACAGTGTGTGCTTTGATCATTCTCTGCCCTCAGTGAGGAAGGCAGGACCCCATCTCACTCAGGGCTCAGCTTCACCCTTCTGAGAAACCTTTGCTGACACCTCTATTCATTAAATTCCTTTCCTAGGGCTCCTATCACTTTCTACTTTATATCTTATTTATGTGTGTATCTGCTCAGCTCCCTCCTGGATTGCAAACTCCTTGAGTATAGAGATGTATCTGATTCATACCCCCAGAGCAAAGTGTCTTATGCACACAGCAAGCACTGAATACATGTTTTGAGAGTGACCGAATGCCAGGCTAATGGATGAAGGGAAAACCTCAAAAATCTTCACTATGCATCATCAGCCCAGGTACAATCTTCAACCATGCTTTTATAAGCAACACTTCCTGCAGATCTGCCAGGTAAATGTACCCACCTGAGACAGCTCTCTCTTGCTTTCTCTCATACATTCTTAGCATAGTCCTCATGGTAATAGTGCCTTGCTCTGAAAGAAAGACTGCGTGGGGTGGAGAAAAGGAGGTGAGTTATGTTTTTCCATCTGACTTGTCCTGCTGTTGCTTCAAGTTCATTATTTGCATTTTTATCTTGGTTTTGATAAACTAAGGTGCTTGTCAGCTGTCTTGTTTCCTGGAAGCTCTGCCGAAGTGCATATAAAAGTGGCTCATAGCTCTTGGTGTTCTAGGCCCCAGAAATCTATCCTTACTTGGGACCCTGTGGTTTTTCCCACAGAAGGCAGGAGGGCTCAATTCAGTTTGTATTCCCTGCTGTGAACAACCAGGTTTCTAGGGCTAGAGCTAGCTATGAAGAGCAGCAAACTGAAGCAAGCTGACTGTGGTGTTATGTATCTGTATGTGTGTGTTTGCACATGTGTGTGCACAGGTGTGCATGTATGAATGTAGAGATGTGGAGTGAATGGAAGAAGTACTAGTCAAGGGTGAGCAAGATACTGGTTGCTAATTTAACCGATACGAGTGAGAAAGGATAAAGTACTGTCTACTGATACCAAAGGAAAGGTCTGGGGTCTAGATAGCTTCAATAAGCCCACAAACATTAATCCTAAAGTCAAAGCAAATGAAGCATAACCTTCAGCCACAACATCCCCAGACTGCATATTCAACTTAGTGACTTACTTCCCTTTTAATGTTTATTTTAGCCTTTTCTATTCCTTATTACCTTCTGTCACTTGAATTAATGGTCTTGGAGAAAGAAGAAGGAAGATATGCAATATGATTTATGTATTCTTTTCTATCCTCTCCTTATTCTCTTTCTACATACCTCCCAATATTTAGGCCTGTTCTGCCTGGAAGAAGTTCAAGATGTTCTCTTTGGTTCAGGCTCCATGTATTGTTTTTGCCTGTCTGAGAATCTCTTTGAAAGTGCTGAATTAATGAGTCATTGTTTACTCACAAGCTTATTACAGTGTTCAGAATTTCTTTCATAGAGAAAATGCAAGCTGAGTAAAATCTAGGTCTGGGGCCCCCAGGCCTTCTGATTTTCCCATTGCAATGCGGCTGCTTAAACTTCTGGTTTGTCTGCTGGTGGTTGTTATGTACCTGGATTTGAATGCTCTCTCTCTGCCATTCTCCCACCTCAAGACGCCCAGTGTCCTAAGACTGCCTCAGGCCCCATGGCATGGCATGACCTCCTGGTAGCATCACCCAAGAATTTATCCTGGGAGTGCCCCATACCTTATACCTATTTTCTCACAATCACAATGTTCTTGAATATAGTTCCATCCCCTTTAAGTTGATTGAATAGGTAGTTTGGTCAACTCATTCAAAATCTTGTTCTAATGACCAATAATAGTTCAAGGACTTCTCTTTCACCTTAAATATGTATTTAAAATAGGGGTCATCACTTGGTTTAACTCTAAGAAGAATGGAGTAGTATGATATATTCTATCTGAACAAATTGTGTGTGTGTACCTGTGTGTGTGCATGTGTGTGTGTGAGAGAGAGACAAAGACACACACACACACACACAGATTCAGGAAGAAAGAGTGAAAACAGGGGCTTTTGCATACTTTAAATTGCACCATGTTCGCCATCATGCCACTTAACTTTAGAATCTATCATGGGAAGGAACTAGGTATATGTAATTTTTACCTGATTGGTACAGAGCCCCAAGAAGTGAAAATCATGGAAAAATGAGAAACAGTGGGAGATGCTTGTAGCTGACTGGCAGTGTGGGGACCTCACTGCCTGCTCCCACACCAGGTGCCTCCAGCCATACACCTGCTGGTGCTGTGACCCTCGGAGCTGGGGCAGGAGCAGACATGGGATTTGTAAATCTGCTAAACACTTATTTCCTTGCTACTCAGTAGCACACGTGTCCTCTACATCATGTGAAAAAATTGTTCTCCAAACTTTAGCAGAGTTGCATAAGATTTCATCATATACGTTCATCTAAATTTTGAATATACCACTGCCTTCTATATGGAAGTCACTGGCTCCTTAGCAAAGTTCCCTGTAAAGCTTATAAATGATAAATACTAACTTTATTTCATTTTAAATGGTGTGGAGCAAATTTTTTGGTTTGCCGGTTTGTTCATGATATTTTATAATTCAAGTCCTGAGAAATGTCTCTAAGGCCAATGAGAAGCAATGATGGAGGTATGAGTGTGAGTGTGGCATTCTGTTCAGGTTATTTACAGAAACAGAGTTTTGTGCCTTTAAAAACATGGTAGCTAAAACTAAGTTAATGGTGTTAGGTTCAAATTGGAAGGCTGGAATTCAAAGTGCCTGCAGGAAAAACTGAGCTTGTCACTGGTATGTCTTCAATCTTAAGCACCTGGATCCCCAAACTTTAAAATATAAGAGTAGAGCAATGCAAAGAAATTCTATCCTGTTTGGTATCATTTTTCACCAAAACAATTCTAATGATGGTAACAACCATGTAAAAAGTCGTTGAGAAATATTTTTTTCTAAAAATAACAATGCCATGTATCATGCAATTGATTTACTGTTTTGAAGTTATTTCACAGCAAATGTCTTATTTTTGTCCTCACAAAGCTTCTAAGACAAATTTTCTTATCCTCATTTGACATCTGGGAAACAGATACTATGTAATAAAGAAACAGCTAGAATCCAGATTTTTTTGATTCCCATTTTGTATTATTTTTAGTAGTTCACAAAAGAAAGAGAAAAGAAACACTAATGACTGAGAAAGTCCTAGCGGACGTCGACATTTCCTAAGTGTGTGGATATGATATTGTTGGTAGCAGTTTACAGATGCCCCTCAACCTACCATGGTTTGATGAAAATGCTTTTAGTACATCCAACCTACCTACATTCTAGCTTACACTGTAGAACATTTTAGCTTAAGTGTGTTCAGAAGACTTAAATTAGCCCAGAGTAGGGCAAAATTATTGAACACAAAGCCTATTTTATAATAAAATGTCAAATATCTCATGTAAGAGTTTTGTACGACATATTGCTAGCCCAGGAAAAGATCGAAATTCAAAACATGGTTTCTACTGAATGTGTATCATTTTTCACATTATAATCAAGTAAGAAATTCATAAGTCAAACCATCATAAGTTGGGGACCATCTGTATAACTTAGAAGTTCAAGTTTGGATTTTTTTTTCTCCAATTTTCTGGCCAAAGTTTTGGTCTTATATAATGATAAATAACTTTTAACAATTCCTTTAATAAAGCAGCAAGTGAAATTATTATGATAAACTTTTACATAAATACCTACCTATACTTGGGAACTTGCTAAGATAACACTAATTTATTATCAATCAAAGCTTTAGTTTAGCAACCAACTTTTCAGATTTCTGAGTTATCTCAGGGTTCTGATACTTGAGGTGCCTGAGCTTTCAGATTCTTAAGATAATCAAGGTGTTAGATTTACAGGGTAGTTAGCTCGGAAATACTACATTCATGAGGTTTTTTTCTTCTGCTTTTTTTGTTTATTTGAATTTTCCCGTTTTTCGTGATGAGAATATATTGTACTTTTATAACAGAAGAATGTTTCTAAGATACCATTTTCTATAAGTAAAATTTTAAAAAGGAAAAAGGAAGGAAGCAGGGAAGGCAGAAGAAAGGCAGGTGAATAGAAAGAAAAAAAGAGAAAGAAAAAGCGGAAAAAGAAGAGAAACAGAAAACAAGACAAGACTCTAGCCCAGGCAGTGAGAAGTTCATAGTTAGGCTGCTGTAATGATCGTGCTAAGGCCACAGAACCAGACCACAGCCTTGTTTGTGAGAGATGTTTCCATAAAGGAACATGTGCTCCTGCTGTCCAGTCATCCTGGGAAGAGGCTAATTCTGGCTCTGAAAATGAAGCGGCCTCCATTTAGGGGTTGAGTCAGGCCTATACTCTAAGGTACAGAAATGCCTAGAGAGTTCTGATGAGTGTGAGCTGAGTTAGCCCTAATCACTGGCAGAATGCTGTGAGTTTGGGTCTGTAGACCCTTAGTAAGAGCTTCAGAGTGGAACCTGCAGAAGCCCCTCACTGGGCTAGGTGAAGTTAGATTAGCTGCAGACTGGTGTCCCTGAAGAGCGGTGATGTTGTGAGGATGGTAGGCACAGGGGCACAGTGAGGTGCAAGGTAAGAAGCCAGCCAGCTTAGAGAAACGGGGGTTGTGGGGCATTCCTGAGACAGCAGGAGTCCTACCTGGGAGACTGCAGCCAGGAGACCCCTGGGGGCCAGCTAGTTCCTGGGAATCAAGCTGGTGGGAGTGGGGGTGGGGGCTCACATCATCACAAGTTAGATATCAAAGGCAAGCATAACATTCTCTCATGGCTCAGACTTGTCAGGTCTGGGACATAAATGGTGAGGACTGGGCAAAAAGACTGGATGGAAGGAAATGCATCAAAATGTGCAATGGAAATACATAGAAATTGTTGAATTATGAGTGATTTCTTTCTTTGTTTTCTGTAATTTCCAAGTCATATACAGTTTCTTTCACAATTAAAAATGTCAGCATGTTATAAATGTTATTGTTTTGTGTTTAGTCTCAGCCCTGAGGCACTGTTCAAAGTGTTCTTGCAACCTCTCCTAGTATTTCAGCAGACGGAATTATTCCTTTGCCTGCTCTCAGGTGCCTGCCTCTAAGGTGACACCCTGTTGGCTCCAGGTCCTTCTTTCTTTTTCTTTTTTTTTTTTTTGGAGACAGAGTTTTGCTTTATCACCCAGGCTGGAGTGCAGTGGCACAATCTTGGCTCACTGCAACCTCCACCTCCCGGGCTCAAGCAATTCTCCTGCCTCAGCCTCCTAAGTAGCTGGGATTACAGATGCATGCCACCATGCCTAGCTAATTTTTTTAATTTTTAGTAGAGACGGGATTTCACCATGTTGGCCAGGCTGGTCTTGAACTCCCAACCTCATGATCCGCCTGCCTTGGCTACCCAAAGTGCTGGGATTACAGGTGTGAGTCACCGCGCCCGGCCTCCTGGTCCTTCTTTCTACACAGAAGAACAAAGGAGACTAAATTGTATCATGTCTGTATACTTCAAAGGGGCAAAGCTGATCACTCTTTTGTAAAACAATCAGGAAGTAAGTGTTGACAGTACCCTTCAAAGGATCTACCAACATCTTACCTGGCATAGCATATTTTAATGACTTGATAAATATTTGTTGAATAAATAATATAATCAATATATTCTCTAATTGCATGCTAAGTATTACATAAAATGTAAATATTGATTCAGCATTAGCTCTGCCACTCATAATATTTTTCAGGACTGTAGACTGAGGTTTACCTAAAAGCTTTCTGAGGGGCATAATACTATATTATAGAGTTATGCTGTTTAGTATGGTAACATGTGACTACTGAGGACTTCAAATGTAGGTAGAATGCATTAAGATGTGCTGTGGGTGTACAACACACACTGAATTTTGAATCATCTCAATATATTTTTAAAAATTTGTATTACATGTTGAAATAATAGTACTTTGGATATATTGCATTTAGACTTATTAAAATGAATTTTACTGTTTTTTTTTTTACTTTTAAAATTATGGTTACCAGAAAACTTTAAGTTGCATACGTGGTTTGTACTATTTTCCAATTGGATAGTGCTATTATAGCGTAAACATTTTTGATGGGAGATTTCTAACACATAGTTTTAACTTGACCTTATTGTAGTGCTGAAAATTTCCTTCCTCATCCTTCTGCTGTAAGTTACATTGTAAATCCTCATTTCTTCTCCTAGTAATGCAATGATTATTTGACAGGAAGAAGATAATAAGATCAGGTAGCAGTATGAAAGCAAAGCCAGATATATGCATTGCAGAACATAGGATAGGTTTGAAGTTCAGGGACTACAAGTAATAGGTTTGAAGTTCAGGGACTAAAAGTAAGAGTTACTTAGAAAAACTGACTGGAAGGCAGTGAGCCC